>NT_167247.2:181172-223548 GCF_000001405.40 Homo sapiens | reverse complement strand
GGCCAGCCCAGAAAGGGGCTCCCACAGTGCAGTGGGGGGGCTGAAGGGCTCCTCAAATGCCACCAAAGTGGGAGCCCAGGCAGGGGAGGTGCCGAGAGCAAGCGAGGGCTCTGAGGACTGCCAGCATGCTGTCACCTCTCAATAGGAGTAGTTAATAATGGCAATTAGAAGTAATTTATAATAGGACTAATTACATAAATAATATGTTTGGGAAAAATATAACAATATGTTTTTAGTATTTCTATCTGTTCTCTTATGTAGTGATTTATTTTAACTTTTTAAAACTATTGGATATTTAAGTCTCATAGGCTATATTATTTCAACTTTAAGGCGCATTAATAAATGAAAAACATAAATACAAAAACGTAAAATACAACAAGAATGTAAAAGAAGAACATAACTACAATAAAACTACTTAAGCAGATATTACCTATATTTAATAAAAAATAATGACATTTCTTTCTGTCGCATGAAACAATCGAGTATCTTTACCCTTTCTGTTTCTTTTTCCAATATTCTTTCTGTGACCTGTCTGCAACATTTAAGACATCTTTATTTTCTTTTATATAGTGGTAATACTGAATACAGTCAAAGGTAAAATTCACTTTGAATTGCAGCTCTGCTCTTATCAAGCCCATATTACTTAGATTCCTGGTATCATTCTAGTGTGATAAAATCACACTAAATATCCTCTCAACAAAAGCATTTGAGCATTGAATACTCGGTATTTTACTTACTAGCAATAGCAGACTGTTGCAGCGAGCTGAGATCGCACCACAGCACTCCAGCCTGGGCAACAGAGGGAGACTCCATCTCAAAAAAATTAATAAATAAAATGAAATAAATAAATGATAAATTTGGGAAACAAAGCTTGGATTCCAAATAAATTGTATTTTTAGCAAGAGATTGATAAAGTCCTATTTAACTTGCATTCTGAAGCAGTCTTTTTTTTTTAAAAAAAGAATCTTTTCTTAGTGTATGAATCTTTATGTCACAATCTACATAACATAACATTGTTAAAATTAATGGGAGGCTATTGTTTTGGAATGAGCTCCTGCATTAGGCTCCAACAGACCAGACCAAACCAGAAGGGAGCCCTTTGTGCAGGGTGCCAAGTAATCAAACTGAAATTTAAAACAGGCCAGTTTTCCAAAAAACAGGAGATTCACAATAACCAGTAGAAAAGGGTCCAGACTACCTCAGCCAGCATGTTAAGGAAGTATCCTCTGCTTTAACCTTACAAGGACAGTCACTTTGTAATTACCAATCCACCTATTGTTCCTTGTTTGTAGTTTCTTCAGCCTTTTCTACCTATAACCTCATCTCCTCGTCAGAGCACCTTCCTATTTTGTAGATGAGATGCTGCCTGATTCATGAATTGCCAATAAAAGTTGATCTGATCTTTAACCTAAGTGTGTTGAAATTTTGTTCTTCGACAACGTCAAACAAATGAAAGTATAAATTTCTGTTTTACGGTAGTTCTTTTCTCCATTCTCACTCTTAAAATATTGTCAAATTAGAGAATAGCATTCCTCTTGTCCCACATTTTGAAAATATGATTTTACACCAAGTAAACATTTTAACATCTATCCTATGGCCAGCAATAATTATAGTCAACTTTAGACATTTCTAAGGAGGCTACCTCCTTTCGTTTCTATAAAGTGAAAATTCTTATTGTTTCTGCACATTTTGAGGAAACTAAAAAGTGACCATAAATCTCATTAAGCCATGAAAGCCTCAATATCACCAGTAAACAAATCACAATCCTTCTTAGCAGTGTTGTTTGTTTTGTTTTGTTTTGTTTGAGACGGAGTTTCGCTCTTGTTGCCCAAGCTGGAGTGCAATGGTACGATCTCGGCTCACTGCAACCTCTGCCTCTGGGGTTCAAGTGATTCTCCTGCCTCAGCCTCCCGAGTAGCTGGGATTACAGGCATGTGCCACCACACCCCGTTGATTTTTTGTATTTTTAGTAGAAACGGGGTTTCACCATGTTAGCCAGGCTGGTCTCAAACTCCTGACCTCAGGTGATCCACCAGCTTTGGCCTCCTAAAGTGCTGGGATTA
Source organism: Homo sapiens (assembly GCF_000001405.40). Lineage (NCBI taxonomy): Eukaryota > Metazoa > Chordata > Mammalia > Primates > Hominidae > Homo > Homo sapiens. The sequence goes on along the minus strand of NT_167247.2, from coordinate 221,485 downwards.
CAGGCGTGAGCCATCACGCCCGGCCTCTTAGCAGTGTTGTGAACAACATGTGCAGAACACGTCACATGTAAGATCTTTTCATTTTCTTTGGTAGAAAGTTTATAGTCTGAATGGAATTTGCCAAAATTTACATTTGCACTGTCTGCCAAATATGCAGATAGATGAGCAAGATCTAACTTGTAGTTGACCAACATATCAATGATTGTTTATGCTTCAAGTGGTTTCATTAAGTCTTCATGCATACCAGGAAAGATGATTTTCAACATCATGTTTCAAATCAAAGTATGTAAGAGCTAAGGGAAACTTTTTTTTTAATGGTTGAGGTGGATTTGACACATCATTATGTTGTAGAGAGCAAGGTCGTCTGATAGAATCAGCTGTACACTGCAAGAGACCAATATGTGGTATCAGAATTTCCTCTTGTTCACCCACGAGATGCAACCTCTGAATCAGGAAATAGAGTAATTAAGGAAGCCATAAAATAATGCGTGTTCTTTTCTAATATTCTGCCCAATACCATTTTCTTTTATTTAATTTTAACTTTTTTTAAGGTCTCCTTGTAAGCAAGCCCAATGCTATTCTCTACAGAGCGCTGGTGTCACTTTTGGGAGACAAAAACACTTTTGATTGGTTCAGAAGTTCTTGCCTGTCTCATCCCAGACTTGAGAGATGCCGTCTCCCTGTGTACTTTCACATCCAAATCTGTTTTGAATATTGCGTAGTATGCTCCGTTTTGATTATTTATTCTCCAAATCCGGTTGTATGTGTCCTTCTATCTGTCATTGAAGTAACAGTCTATTTAGACTTTTTCAGTGCTATCTGGGTTATGCTGGCGTTCGCATGATAATCGTTCTCGTTTTCGTTATCTAAACTCTAAAAATCTGGCCATAATATTCACAATGTTAAAAATTAAACTAAGGCCGGGCGCGGTGGCTCAGGCCTGTAATCCCAGCACTTTGCGAGGTCGAGGCGGGCGGATCACTTGAGGTCAGCAGTTCCAGAATAGCCTGGCCAACATGGTGAAACCCCGTCTCTACTAAAGATACAAAAAATTAGCCGGGCGTGGTGGTGCAGGCTTGTTATCCCAGCTACTCGGGAGGCTGAGGCAGGAGAATCGCTTGAACCCTGGAGGCAGCTGTTGCAGTGACCCAAGATCACGCCGTTGCCCTCCAGCCTGGGCGACAAGAACGAAACTCCGTCTCAAAAAAAAAAAAAAAAATTAAACTAGCAATACAAACTAGCACTATGTAGACACAACAGTCTACAGTCAAAGACCGAGTGCTACGGTCACGGCTGAAAACGGTAACATCGCGCATTTAAGTCGCCTCACTCAGAGCGATGCACGGTGCAAGGTTGTCACCATCAGCGGACAGGGGAAAAACGGCGACAACTACAAAAGTGGGATAACCTAAACCCTATTATCCATTGGCAATAAAATCAGTGTTGCTTTCGGCCCTGGGGCAGGGGTGGGAACAAGGATGGGGTTGTCACTTTTTGTGTGTATATATTCTCTCCAACCTATCGCCAAAAACCGAAAGCCCGGACTTTTCACATCCCAGGTAGGGTTTTCCTGGGAAGTGGGTCTTTGAGTGCTAAACTCCAGACAATCCCCTGGCAAACAAAGACAGTGGAGAAGACAAGCTTTTCACCCCTTCCTGCTATTACTACCGTTCTCACATCCTAGCAGATGCCCAAGAGTTTGCACCAAGAGCGCCATATTCTTTACCCCATGAAGTTGCATTTGTCCAAATCCCTTTGGACTTCCTCAAGACCGAGACGGAGACGTGATTGGGGAAGACTGCAGTGGGTTGAAAAGCCAGTGGGACTTAGGGAGGTATTTTTTTAAAACAGACGGCCTTACAAGGAGTTTGCTGTACATTAAGACGGCCTTACAAGAAGTTTGCTGTACATTAAGACGGCCTTACAAGACGTTTGAGCACATGAGATAGCGACAGGTGGAGACGCCTGTCAAAGGACATTGTTTTGTTGTTTAAGATAGTAAACGCTTCAATGCTTCCGGATGGGAAACACCGGATCACTTTTCCTGCGGGAAAGAACCGGTATGGAGGGAGAGAGAAAAACAGGCCGTTTTCCTGATCTCTCCAGACAAAATGGATGGACGCCCGTGCAGGTTAATTGTCAGGTTTCTGGACAGGACGTTTTGGAAATTTTCCACCTAAGGTGAGAAGTGGGGGGTCATCAGTTCAGAATAAGAGGGGCAAAAGCAGCGGGATCAGCAGCGACTTTCTTCATCTGATTCAGGTTTTGGAAGCTGGTGAGCTTTGAGAAGTTTCATAAGAATATTTTATTTTAGAAATTTAAAATAAAGGTAATGTAGACAAAAATGTTTAAATAAGGTAAAAATCAGTGTTGAAAACACCTGCTGAGGAGCACTAGTTGTCTGCCTCCTTAGCGCAGTAGGCAGCGCGTCAGTCTCATAATCTGAAGGTCCTGAGTTCGAACCTCAGAGGGGGCAGCTGCCATTTTGTCCCCAACTTCCACAAATAACCCTATTTGTTCAGTATACAATTATCTCTATAATTGCCGGGCCCGGCATATGTTGTCAGACAGACGAAGTCTCAGCTCTCTTTGTCCCGACGGCTTATCAAGTTCTAGTAAATCTCTTTTAGTTCTTCTTATGAGTATCATCTCTTTCCAGTGGGCTTGCTGTTTTCTCCGAGTTCTTCTGACCTCAATTCCCTCGTGGGACAGTATCCTTCTACTGGTGCAACTTAATTTATTGAAAAAATGAATAGACAGATGAAAACCTGATATTCAATTTGTTGTGGCAGCCCTAGGAAACCAACACACCATCCCTTCTTTCACTCACCAACCTCCCATCACATCAACCTCAAGCTGTTTTATTTTCTTCATAGAATTTTTTACTATATAAAGTTTCCTTGTTCTTTTATTTTTTAACGTTTTTATTGTCTGTTGCCCACCCATCCTCCTAGACTGTAAATTCCGTTAGAGACTGAATTTGTTTTATCCAGTTCTATATTTTCAGTGCCTAGCACGGTATCTGATAAACAAGTATTTCTCAAATCAATCATTTAATTTGCATATTAAATGTTATGGTTTTCTTTCCATGCTTCTTGTCACTATCTTATTCCACACAATCAACATCTCAAACTTAGATTACTTGCAATCATCACCCCAGCAGTTACACATACTGAAATTCATCTTGCAGGCTATACCTCTCTGGCCCAGTCCGTGCTGCAAAAAGAGAGGGCTCTCCTCCAACATGTCTGGACCTCAGGGGTCTGTATTTCAGGACAGCTCTCTTAACAGTTCATTCTGTTGCCGACTTAAGGAAGCGTTTTATAGGGAACATCTTAACAATTTCGTCTGGACCCTAGGCCTCTGGTTCCAGGAGCCTGCATCTACCACAGTTAAGGAAATGCTGTTAAAGATTTGGGAGAAGCCTAAGAGCTGGGTTGTCTGGCTGTTCAGGCAGCTCTCCAGAGACTGCTTTATCCTTATTGGAGCCATCACAATTCAGAGTCTGTTCCTCTCCTTTGCAGAATCAGACACTATTTTTATTTTATTTACTTATTTGTATTATTTATTTTGAGTCTCCCTCTGTCTACCAGGATGGAGTGGAGCCGTGCGATCTCGGCTCGCTGCAACCTCTGCCTCCCTGGTTCAAGCTATTCTCCTGCCTCAGCCTCCCAAGTAGCTGGGATTATAGGCGCGTACCACCACTCTCGGCTAATTTTTGTATTTTTAGTAGAGACTGTTTCAGCATGTTGGCCCGGCTGGTCTCGAACTCCTGACCGCAGGTGATCTGCCCGCCTCGGACTCCCAGAGTGCTGGGATTACAGGCGTGAGCCACCGCGCCCCGTCAGAAATTATTTTTATGTATTTTTATTTTTATTTTTTGTGACGGAGTCGCTCTGTCGCCCAGGCTGGAGTGCAGTGGCGCAATCTCGGCTCACTGCAAGCTCTACCTCCCGGGTTCACGCCCTTCTCCAGCCTCAGCCTCCCGAGTAGCTGGGACTACATGCGCCCGCCACCACGCCCAGCTAATTATTTTTGTATTTTTAGTAGAGACGGGGTTTCACCGTGTTGGCCAGGATGGTCTCGAGATCCGCCCGCCTCGGCCTCCCAAAGTGCTGGGATTACAGGCGTGAGCCACAGCGCTCGGCCGGAAACTATTTTTAAATTCACCTAGAGTTTTTAAGACTTGCAGGGCTGACTCACGGTAACTAAATGCCAGAAATATGCCAAGCCAGAATATGAACATATTATAACTTTCTTGATAATTGATCAGTATATTCCCTCCTACGTAAAATAAACTCTGCACTGGAAAGCAAGTAACAACAGAAGATTACTTTGGCACCTGTAAGCAGAGTAACAGGAATCATAAAATATTAAATACTTCGTATTCTAAGGTTGTCCTTAAATGTTAGTTTTCTTCAGAAAATCTGGGGCTATCTCACTGTAGAGGGCCCATGTATTCACCTTACTACTTTTATTTGGCATCAGAGTTACTCGCCTATTCGTGGTTTAAAATTTGGGGTTCTACAGGGTTTGGTGAATTTTTGCAGTATATGAAATCTGTCCCTATAAAACGATAGTGTCCTTTTTGGCTTTTTCAAACATGATACCAGAATCAGGTACTAAAAGCCACCACTCCCGCCCGAACAGGGACTTGAACCCTGGACCCTCAGATTAAAAGTCTGATGCTCTACCGACTGAGCTATCCGGGCTCCCTGCAAAAGCCTTCTTCCTGCACATTCTAGTGAGTAAAAAGGTGCAGAAACTTGATATCGTCCAACTTAAATCCTATCCATGTTCCTTTTCTTTATTCCCATCTATGCTTTTGCCCACTTTGAATATGGCTCACAGTTATTTTTGTCCCCAACTCATGGAAAAAATTAACTCCCATCTTTGTGTAATGTACTCCAAACAATTACTTGTAAAAGCAATGTATAACTACAGACGTAATCGCCGGGTTTGTCTTGTCTTTAGTCTTCAAAGGTTATGCTCCAGTCTTCCCTGCGACCTTAAGAACACCTGGCACACGGGCGCGGTGGCTCACGCCTGTAATCTCAGCACTTTGGGAGGCCGAGGCGGGCGATCACAAGGTCAGGAAATCTAGACCATCCTGGCCAACATGGTGAAACCTCGTCTCTACTAAAATACAAAAAAATTAGCCGGGCGTGGTGGCGCACGCCTGTAGTCCCAGCTACTCGGGAGGCTGAGGCAAGGGAATCGCTTCAACCCGGGAGGCGAAGGTTGCAGGGAGCCGAGATCTTGCCTCTGCACTTCAACCTGGTGACAGAGTGAGACTCCAGAAAAAAAAAAAATAGGTTTTGAGAACTTATTTTGAGCAAGGCTCTCAGCTTTGCCCCGGGTTTCCTGCAGTGGAGAAGTACTACTGAGAGGTGACAGCGTGCTGGCAGTCCTCACAGCCCTCGCTTGCTCTGGGCGCCTCCTCTGCCTGGGCTCCTACTTTGGCGGCACTTGAGGAGCCCTTCAGCCCACCACTGCACTGTGGGAGCCCCTTTCTGGGCTGGCCAAGGCCGGAGCCCACTCCCTCAGCTTGCAGGGAGGTGTGGAGAGAGAGGCGCGAGCGGGAACCGGGGCTGCATGCGGCGCTTGCGGGCCAGCTGGAGTTCCGGGTGGGCGTGGGCTTGGCGGGCCTCGCACTCGGAGCAGCCGGCAGGCCCTGCCGGCCCCGGGCAATAAGGGACTTAGCACCCGGGCCAGCGACTGCAGAGGGTGTACTGGATCCCCCAGAGGTGCCAGCCCACCGGCGCTGCGCTCGATTTCTCGCCGGGCCTTAGTTGCCTTCCCGCGGGGCAGGCTTCGGGACTGCAGCCTGCCATGCCTGAGCCTTCCCCCGCCTCCGTGGGTTCCTGTGCAGCCCGAGCCTCCCCGACGAGCGCCGCCCCCTGCTCCACGGCACCCAGTCCCATCGACCACCCAAGGGATGAGGAGTGCGAGCGCATGGCGTGGGGTTGGCAGGCAACTCCACCTGCAACCCCGGTGCGGGATCCACTGGGTGAAGCCAGCTGGGATCCTGAGTCTGGTGGGGACGTGGAGAATCTTTATGTCTAGCTCAGGGATTGTAAATACACATATCGGCACTCTGTATCTAGCCCAAGGTTTGTAAACACACCAATCAGCACCCTGTGTCTAGCTCAGGGTTTGTGAGTGCACCAATCGACACTGTATCTAGCGGCTCTGGTGGGGCCGTGGAGAACCTGTGTGTCAAAACTCTGTATCTAACTAATCTGGTGGGGACGTGGAGAACCTTTGTATCTAGCTCAGGGATTGTAAATGCACCAATCAGCACCCTGTCAAAACAGGCCACTCGGCTCTACCAATCAGCAGGATGTGGGTGGGGCCAGCTAAGAGAATAAAAGCAGGCTGCCGGAGCCAGCATCCACAACCCGCTCGGCTCTTCTTCCATATTGTGGAGTGTTGTTTTTTTTTTTGCTCTTTGCAATAAATTTTGCGACTGGTTACTGTTTGGGTCCACATTGCTTTTATGAGCTGTAAGACTCACCGTGAAGGTCTGCAGCTTTTTTCCTGAAATCAGCGAAAGCGCAAGCCCAGCAGGAAGAGCGAACAATTCCAGACGTGCTGTCTTAAGAGCTGTAATACTCTTTCCGAAGGTCTGCAGTTTCACTCCTGAGTTAGCGAGACCACGAACCCACCAGAAAGAAGAATACTCCTAACACATGGGAACATCAGAAGGAACAAACTCCAGACACGTCACGTTAAGAGCTGTAACACTCACCGCGAGGGCCCGTGGCTTCATTCTTGAAGTCAGTGAGATCAAGAACCCACCAATTCCGGACACACTACCTCAGCCCTTGGGGCGTTCATATTTTACAAGTGAAAAGCAGCCGTTAAACGACAAATTACACTGTTTAAACAGTCACTGTAACACATGCTCTTGAGAAAACGTTCAGGTTACAAAATGTTGAGGAAAAACAAGCAAAATCTCATGACCTTACTTTGCAAATTAAACGAGATAATGTAAGCAAACGCTTGGTGACATTTCCATGAAAATTAGGTGTTATCACAATTATTCTTATTGTAAAGTGGATCATTTAGAATACTGTATTTTAACCATTTTGCTTGTGCCACTTTAGACAAGTTTGTTAATCTCTTGACCACTTTAATCTCACAGCAGAAATCCCTCAAAGGCTAGGTCTAGCACAATGGTTGTCATGTACATTTCTGATCGTGCATTTATTTATGCTACTATTGAAAAACAGATTCGAGGTTATTTACACAACTATACTATAAAATAAAGTGAAAAATGTTAATTTAAATCAAGATAAAGGGAACATAGAGAAAAGTAAGGTGAGACAAAATAATGCACACTGTAAATCGCACACTGTAAATCACACCCTGCCCTCTATCTTCAAGAGCATGGATTATAAAGGGAGATGACCTCTTCCAGGGGATTAGAGAAGACTTCTCCCAGGAAGTGATGTTTAAACTGAAAACTAAAGGCCTAGTTGGACAAAAATGTGATTCCAGCATTCCAGGGAGATTAAAGAGCAGAACACTTCCAGACACCTGAGAGAAGGCCTGAGCAGCTTGTGTACAGAGAGCTCAAGAGAGTGTTCATGAAGGTGGGGTCTGAGGTGGACAGGAAGGCAGGGACAGACCAGTGACTCACAGGCTCAGAGGTTATGGCTAGTAGTGCAGAGAGCTGACTGCACCCTAGCAGCAATGTGAAGCCACTGGGAATTCTAAGCAGGAAGAAATGACATGATGAGATTACTTTTAAGAGTACACTGGCTTTATGTAAAGAATGAGTCAGAATGGAGGAAGAGGTGATGCAAAAACATAAATTAGGCCATTGTGCAGAAGAAGGCCATCGAGACATGGCAGTGGGGAGGAATGATGCAGAGAAACTGGGGAACAGCTAGAAGAAAGAAAACTTGGGCCCAGACTGCCCCTGGGAACCTGGAGGGCAGGAGGTGTCAAGATGTCTCAGCTGCTTATTTACCAAGAAAAGCTCTTTACAGGGAAAGGCAGAAATAAAGCAAAACAGGGCGAGGCCAGTGGCTCCCACCTGTAATCCCAACATTTTGGGAGGCAGAGGTGGGCAAATCAATTGTGGTCAGGAGTTCCAGACCAGCCTGGCAAACATGATGAAACCGCATCTCTACTAAAAACACAAAAATGAGCCAGGTGTGGTGGTGCATGACTGTAGTCCCAGCTACCTCAAGGGTCTGAGGCAAAATAATCACTTGAACCTGGGAGGCAGAGGTTGCAGTGAGCCGAGATCACACCACTACACTCCAGCCTGGGTGACAGAGCAAGACTCCATCTCAAAAAAAAAAAAAAAAGAAAGAAAGAAAAAAGAAAAATTAGAAATAAAGCAGAATAGGAAATGGCACCTTGTAGCTTTTGAGAGTTCTCTGGGAAGCATAGAGCATTTATTCTGCTCTTGATGAGGCAAGTGCTCCTAGTTTTAACCAGTAAGCAAGCCCTGGATGACTAAACAAAAATGAGGAGAATTTTGGGAGGAAATGATCTCTCCAGAGACGGTCAACATAGGATAAATGAATATAGGCCGAGTAAGTCCTTGACTGGGGCTTCCAAAATGTTGCCACACTGATGGCATTCAAATCTCCTGGAGTCACTGTTAAAAACTCAGATTCAGGCCAGTTGCAGTGGCTCACACCTGTAATCCCAGCACTTTGGGAGGCCCAGGTGCATGGATCATCTGAGGCCAGGAGATCGAGACCAGCCTGACCAACATGGAGAAACCACATCTCTACTAAAAACACAAAATTAGCCGGGCGTGGTGGCGCATGCCTGTAATCCCAGCTACTCCAGAGGCTGAGGCAGGAGAATCGCTTGAACCAGGAGGTAGAGGTTGCCGTGAGCCGAGATCGTGCCATTGCACTCTAGCCTGGGCAACAAGAGTGAAACTCCATCTCAAAAAAAAAAAAAAAGATTCACAGATTCTATCTCAGACTCATGAATCAGAATATTCTCAAGGTCTGGCTGACCTCCACAACTTAAATCACTGTTGTCTTTTCTCTCCCCTATGCAGCGAATTCCCTCTCTGAACATGATCATGACCTCTGAGACCCTGCATGATCTATGTGCATCCTGTAGGGTCTATGTGTATCTAACCCCCTCATCTCCTATCAAGTTCTCCCTTGTTTACTGACCTACAGCTGCACTAGTCTCCTCCTTCGTTCCTTGAACATGCCAATGGCATTCCTGCCAAGCCTTTTGTAATTACTGTTCCCTTGGCCTGAAATTCTCTTCTCCCTGATAGCCTCACAGCTCACTCACTCACTTCCTTCAAGTCTCTGTTCAGATGCCTCCTTATCAGGAAGGCCTCCTTGGTCACCCTTTATTATAAAGCAATCCCCTCCCCTTTGTTCTCCATTCTCTTGCTCTTTTCCTTCATGGCATGTATCACTACTTCACATTTTATATATCTGGTTGAATTTATTCTTTATCATTCCCCACTAAAATGTAAACTCCATGAGAGCAGAAGCTTTTTCTGTTGTGTGGAGTGCTATCCCTGCACCCCCTATGTGTGGTTCAGGGTCTAGTTAAGAAATAAGGCTGGGCACGGTGGCTCACATCTGTAATCCCAGCACTTTGGGAGGCCGAAGCGGGCAGATCACTTGAGGTCAGGAGTTCAAGACCAGCCTGGCCAACATGGTGAAACCCCGTCTCTGGTAAAAATACAAAAATTAGCTGGACGTCGTGGCGGGCGCCTGTAATTCCAGCTACCTGGGACGCTGAGGCAGGAGAATCGCTTGAACCCGGGAGGCAGAGGTTGCAGCGAGCTGAGATTGTGCCACTGCACTCCAGCCTGGGTGACAGAACAAGACTCTGTCTCAAAAAAAAAGGAATAAGACTAGGTATTTCAACTGGGCACACCATGGTAACTCAGAGGTGATAACTACTGGGAAGTAGCTACCACCTTGTAGGGCTGGAAGAACAAAAAGGAAGAGGTTGAGACCACTGAGGAAAGGCATCCTGGAGTGCTAAAGAGGACGCGCTGCAGCTGGACTACTACTTACTTATGTAATGGACAGTGAGACATTCTGGAATGCATGAAGAGAACAAATAGAGATGGGATTCAACTGCCATTGTTGGAGTGACCTGACAGGAAGAACAAAATTTAGAAAGCAGCCCCTGCTTCTCTCCTCTTGCTTTCTAGTCTCTTTCTGGTTCCTCTTATTGACAGAACACAAGAGGAAGCCAATGGGCAAAGGAGTTTGGGAAATATCATTTGCAGGCGCCCAGCCCCAATGTCACAAAACAAAGTATATAAGGGTGATTTTAAAGCTGAGAGGGAATGGATTAATAGGAACACAGCTTGGAACAAAGTAGGACTCAAGAGCAGGACATTAATGATCAGTCTTGCTCATTATTATTTGAGTCAGGGGCTCATCTTGACTGTAAATATCAGCCTATCTTCTTCACTTCTTGTTTCTCTTTTTACCCCTTCCTGCATCTGGTAGTTTGGATGATTTAGATCCAGTCAACAGGACTGGAAGCAAGAGAAAAGGTCCAATGCAATGAGACTGAGGGGGGAGTTTTTTGTCAGTTTTTTGTTTCCTTTCTTTTTTCATATGGAATGTTATTGGTGGCAACCTGGTGGTAAGCCATTCCAGAAGAATGGTAAAAGATAACCAAGTCAGTAATTGATAATTAGATTCTATACCTTCCACACCCCTAGTACAACCCTCCACCCACTTTTTCTTATCTCAGCACTCTAAAACTGGCAAGTTTCTTGACTCTGGTGTTGTTAAAACAAAGACAATTGCCAAGCATATCTGAAAAACATTTGAAAATGCTACCAGCTCTATCTCCAATTGGTATGCAGGGCGGGAGGGGAGATGAGAATTTTGGAGAATTTAATTCTTAGTGAAAATCACTGTTTTGTAACTGAACATGGTTCTATTAAACAGCAATTACCCGTTCTGTTCCATCAAAGCAATGTCCTTAGATTTTTTTTTCCCTTACCAGACATATTGTACACTTTTCTATAGAGAAAGAACAACGTTTTGTCAACTTCCTTTGTTGTCTTACTCATTTTGGGTCAAGAAGAAGTAAAATGGCAAAACAGACGCCTTGCCCCCTCTGAGGTTCGAACTCAGGACCTTCAGATTATGAGACTGACGCGCTGCCTACTGCGCTAAGGAGGCAACTGTCTCTCCCGCTTAACCAACGGCTCTACCAAGATGATTATGAGGCATTTTAATAAGGTTTTACGTTCTCTGAATTACAGTGTTTCAAAATAAGGCGTAACTATGATTCAATTCACTTCTAAAACACTTTGGATGACAAAACTACGTAGTACAAGGCAGGGGCCAATTCCTAAACCAACCTCGTTCTCCCACAGACCTTCCTAAGGAAACTTTAAGGGCTGCGAAGGCAATTGAGTCTGGACTTTGCGAAAGGCCTTCCTGTACGGGGCCCTAGATTTCTCATCTCATTTCTGGGCCAGGAACGAGGAGTCTTTCCCTCTATGATTAGGGCTTTCGTAGATGTACCGCCTCTGAAACGAAGACAAGACAAATAATAATGAGTTCACTCTTTTCCTCCCTTGTGAAGTTCCGTGGAGACACTCGGTCCCCTGAAGTGGATGAAGGGCGAGGGGAGGAGGTCTCAGGATTTTTCCTCGCTTTTCTTAGAAGCAACAGGCTCAAACCAAACGGTTGGCCTTGCTTACTCCTGAAGTCGAGAGGCTTACTTCCTGGAATCCAAGTGGATGTGGAGCCCATGGCGTCCTCTGGCGCTCTCGGTCTCTTCGACCCCTTTTTACTGTGTTGATGATAAATGGGGCAGGATTCCCCTCCTGCACCACCTGCAGCATCCTGTCCAGGATCCATCTGGGAGCTGAGAAGAAGCAAAGTGTCAGGGATCGGGGGTTCTCGGGCTATGCTGAGAAGCAAGGAATGCTGAAGAAGGGGCCTGAGGGAAGGGCTTATGGTGATGTGGGAATGGGAATGAAAGGACTGGAAAGGGGCGACAGTCACTTGGGTGAAACTGAAAGCGGCGACGCACCCTGTGGGTGGTAGCGTGGCCGAGCGGTCTAAGGCGCTGGATTAAGGCTCCAGTCTCTTCGGGGGCGTGGGTTCGAATCCCACCGCTGCCAGTGTGAGGTATTTTTTTTTTTTCCCCCTCGTCATTCTGACCCAGTAAAGTTCCATTTTCAAGCCTTGTGTGGGCAGTTCTCACAGCTTCCTAAGTGAGACAGGTTCCTCTTCTGTTTTCCTAGGGGCCACAGATAACACCTATATGTACAGTCCCACAAACGGTGCCCAAATGTTTCTCGATTTAGGGGCTCAGACATCTCGTCCCCTAGTTATTCCCTTCAGTGGCCTTCATGTGTTTTCATTCACTTTGCGAAATTTGTGAACCAACCAAGGGCAATCCTAAGGAAAAAGTACAACCTTCTTAACTCCAGACTCAAGAATAAATAAGCCACGCACGCTCATCTGCCCTATTTTCCATTGTCTTCTCCAAGGGATAAATGTGCTAAGGCTGAAAAAACAAACGAACCAACAAAAGAAACAGTCACCAGACACCTAGAGCCTTTCCCGCTTCACCTATCCTCAGAGAGCAGTTTAAGGTCCTTAGTTGAACACAGTTGAAGAGTTAGCTTTTGAGATTCTGTTATCTTCTTAAACAGTAAACATTTTTTTCTTTTTTTTTTTTAAGAAATAAGGTGGAGGCTCATAGAATAGAAAGAATAACACCTGTTTTAGGGAAGAAGGACTTGATCCGTTATTTACCTGGATCTGGGGTAGTTTAGACCATCTTTTAAGGCTAGGAGACTCGAGGAGATAGAATGGAGAGTTTTTGTGTGCAGGGAGGTGGGTAGATGCTTAGGAGCACTTTACAGTCGCCTAGGCAGAAGTCTTCTAATTTCACTGCTTCCTTCCTCACCTTCCAAAAGATGTATCCAATACATACTAATTGAGCAGATATTTTGTAACAGGCACCTTGCTTGAAAGGATGAATGCCAGCAAATGATTCCAGGGTTCCTTAGCAATTTAGTCTTGAGAGACTAGAGAGGCACATTAAGCATAGTTGACAAATAATTAATATTAAGATTGACTAAAGTAGTAATTTATATCTGAGTATTTCTTCCAGACACGCTACGTATATATGTGGTCTATTTGTTATATGTTGTTCTCACAATTACTAGATAAATAACCATGTTATCTTAATAAAGTTAAGATTTGAAAAAATGAATTACTACATCCAGCACTATAACATCCTAGTTTGGTCATCCATACTAAAGGACACCTATATGTTGGGTCATCTGGACGCTAAGATGTCCACCTGGGAGCTGGGACCTGGAAAGGCAAAAGAAGATAGGAGGAGGAGGAGAAATAATTATTCCCTTTTGAACTTGTAAAATTTAGCCTAGCAAGTGAAGGCAAAAAAGAAGTCTAAAGTCTCCCAAAAGTCTAAGCTGGGCTGTCCCACTGAGTATTCATTCATTCATTCATTCATTCATTCACTCATCCTTTCATTTATGCATTCATGCAACAAGCATTGGTTGAGCTTCTACAAAGTAGCAGACCGTGGGCTATCAAAGACTACTGAGACTCAGCCCTGCACTTAAGGCATTTTGGAGGAATGCGGGAGACAGATTTTAAAAATTTAAGCCCATGGTTACAACTGAGGGGCAGTGCCAAGATACTCGGAGGTTGTTCTAGAGGCATCTGTAGGTATCGTACAATGAATAAATAAGACTGTAGAAAGTAGATAGTATATTTTTTCTTTTCTCTCTTTTCTCCCTTTCAAACCGTGAGACTAAAATTCAATTCACCTTTTCGTGGGCTGGAAACGAAAGAAAATAAAAATCTCCAGGAATAACCATATTCCCAGATCAGTATACTGCCCTGCCCCGAAGGATGGAAAGAAATCTGGGAGAAAGGCGCGGTGGAAACAGTGTGTGAGCCCTACCCCTCCCATCCCTGCGTTTGGCCATCCAAAACAAAAAAACTGCCCCTGCAAAATTACTTTAAATCAATTAGTAAGTAGAAGACAAGAGAGACCCCAGGTGGATCGAGTATCCGTTTTTTGTTAAGTAGGGTTCCATGGTGTAATGGTTAGCACTCTGGACTCTGAATCCAGCGATCCGAGTTCAAATCTCGGTGGAACCTTTCATTTCTCTCCTTTTGCCTTGTTTCCGATAACCTTGAGCGTGAACCTTGCTGCTTTCAATTTCAGTTTCATCACTTTTATTTTTGATGGTTTCTGGCCGTGAGGAAAAACATGTAATCTGCGGTCCCAATAACCTATGAGCTCAGGGCCAGTATGTAATGATGGAGTCTGTATACATGTCTTTCTATTCCTACCTAGTCTAGTTTCCTCCCAGTACGCCTCTGGGTGAGTGCTCATGTGGTAAATGAATGCGCCTTTTAACGAACTGACCAAAGCGGGGCAAAACGTGATTCACTACTAAACAGCGAACAAGACTGAAAAGCAAGGGGGCAGACCTCATTGAGAGTGTATCATTTTAGTTAGAATAAAAAAAGTTGAGGTAGAAAGAATGAAAACACAGAAATGGCTGAGAAAGTAGAGTAAAAGGAGAATAAGATAGTTGTGTCAGAAGTGGGATTCGAACCCACGCCTCCATTGGAGACCAGAATCCTCAACACGAGGAAGCCAAGCTTGAGTCTGGCGCCTTAGACCACTCGGCCATCCTGACACCTGGGACACTTACCATCGCAAATTAATATAATCTTCGATTGTAATGAATGCGTAACCAGCGTTAAGTCATTACTACGTTCGCGATTTAATGAAAGAAATGGAAAAGGAAATTCCTACAAGTGAACAAAACGTTCTATTTAAATGGAATCAGGAACCGTGACTCAGCTTGCGAGGCTCTCCTACCAATTCAGGCTAGAATTCAGCGTTTCTCGCCCCTCGCCCCCTTCTTACACTTCCCTGCACGCCCCGGGTACAGGGGCGCGAGCATCCTAACAACCCAGCCGCGACTCTGCCTTGAACAAGAAAGAACACATAGCATGACAAGAAAAAACACATATCCATGACAAGAAAGAACACATAGCACGGGGGCTGTTCCCGAGATGCTGCTTAGCAAACTAATCAAAGAGCTCAGCAGGGAAGAAATGAGCGAGGCAATGTAGACCTGAAGCGAAGCAGGAGAGTTAGCGGAGAGTGGGGGATGAGAGCGGTTCAGGGGTCTTGAACATGAAAAATGACTGTCGATGTGAGTAACAGGAGTTGACTTGGTCAGGAGTTGAAAGAGGGTGAAGTGCAGGGGTGCTAAACCAGAGTAGCATGAAGGAAGTGTCAGCACAGAGCCGAAATCCCCAGATCTCTTCCCTCACCACATTCCCAGAACTAGTCAAACAGGCTCATCTCCCCTCCCCCTACCTCTCCCAGGAGGTTGAAGGAGTATGTCAAGGGAAACTGGGATAAAGTTTTCCAGAGATAAAGAAAGACAGATGAGATATCCAAGTCAATTTACAAGGAAAAAATAAAAATTAAAACAACGACAAACACTGGTATTTGAGGATCTCCCAAAGAAATGGCTGGGTCTCCATAGAATCCCCAAAGACTCTGCAGTCTACAGGCTTGGAGCAGGTCCACAGAGCTTCCAGAATCAGGTGTTTAGTGCCTTACTTAAAATATGTACGACAACCAAGGATAATCAGGTGGTTGTGAAAATATTTCTACAATAAGACAAGGACGAATACAAACAGAAGGGGGCAGGAAGAACCTAAGAGGAAACAAATACAATGCAGGAAGTTGGATTTTTTAAAAATTATAATTAATCCTCGGGAAAGTAAGAGAAGATACTGCACTCATGAAACAAAAAGGAGGGGAGTTCTTAAAATTATTAATAATATTATGATGGCTGGATTTTTAAAAATTTCTTTTTTTTTTTTCTTGAGACGGGGTTTGGCGCTTGTTGCCCAGGCTGGAGTGCAATGATGCAATCTCGGCTCACCACAACCTCTGCCTTCCAGGTTCAAGAGATTCTTCTGCCTCCAGAGTAGCTGGGATTACAGGCATGCGCCACCACGCCCGGCTAATTTTATGTTTTTAGTTAAGACAGGGTTTCTCCATGTTGGTCTGACTGGTCTCGAACTCCCAACCTCAGGTGATCCGCCCGCCTCAGCCTCCCAAAGTGCTGGGATTACAGTTGTGAGCCACTGCGCCTGGCCTAAAATTTCAAAATAAGGTTGTAGAAATCTGGAAAGTTTGGGGTGAATGATGGAAAATAGCAAAGAATTGATAAGAAAATAAAATGGTGTATAATAGAAGATATGCCAACAAACTAACAGGGATTCTAGGAAAAGAGGAGAAAGTGGAATAAAGGAGATAAAGATGTAATATAAGATTATTTTTCAGAACCAAAGACCTTAAGTCTCCAGATTTAAAAGGCCCACCAACTACCCTGCATAGGGTGTGGCAAAGCCCCACAATAAAGCTTGTCATTGTGAAATATCAGACGAATAAAGTGAATATCCTAAATGTTTCCAGAAGGAAAACAAAACTAAAAGATTGCACAGAAAGGATTATGAATTAGAATGTCATCTTTTTTTCTCCACAGCAGCACCAACACCAAAAGCTGAAAGACAATGAGGCAATGCCTTCTAAATCATTTCAATAAAGGAAAATAGTTTCCACAACTAGATTTCTGAACCCAGCCAAACTATCAATCAAATGTGAATGGACATTTGCAGAACATTATCTCCCAAGTACCTTTTCTCAGAAAGCTTCTGGAGAATTGTCCACTAACTAGGGAATTAAACTAAGAAAAAGGAAATATGAAATCCGGTGACTGGGGACCTAACACAGGAGAAAGGTAAAGGAAAAAACTCCGGGGCAACTGCTGAGCTACCAGGCTAGAAGGCAATCAGTCTACGGTGGAATAGAAAAAAGAGGGCTAAACGAGGGTTGTTTCCAATGGGGGAAAATGGAACTGACATACTGCCTCATGCATTTGACGAGAAAATAGTGTCAGAAAGCTGGTATTGAATTAGGAATAAATATTTAGAAAAGTAAGCAAAGAACAGGAGGCAATTATTAATCCCAGGAAGAACAAAAGGTTGTCAAAGAAGGTAATTATGGTATACCATGGAGCTCAGCTGTGAAAAATATTACAAAGTCATAATGATGAAAACCATAAATATTAATTTATTAATTTAACTAAAAATTATACATATGAGGCTGGGCACGGTGGCTCATGCCTATAATCCCAGCACTTTGGGACGCCGAGGCAGGCGGATTGCCTGAGGTCAGGAGTTCAAGACCACCCTGGCCAACATGGTGAAACCCTGTCTCTATTAAAAATACAAAAAAATAGATGGGCGTGGTGGCGGACCCCTGTATTCCCAAGCTGAGGCGCGAGAATCCCTTGAACCTGTGAGGCAGAGGTTGCAGTGAGCTGAGATGGCGCCACTGCACTCCAGCCTGGGCAACAGAGTGAAACTCCATCTCGTAATAATAATAATAATAACAAATATGAATGTATATTGCCATATTCAAAAATGTATTCAATAAATATATGTTGAATTAAGAAATGTATAAGTAAATAAATATGTCCACAAGAAGAGATTCATGAAGAGTGTAGGCATAAATATAAAGGATTCTTATGGATGTATTCTAATAATAAAATACACTATTGATTAATATATTTTCTTGAGTATTTTCTTTTTATGTCCATCAGTCTCACCTCTCTCTGCTGGGCTAAGGAAAAATTAATCTTTCCTACAAAGCTATCACTAAGACAAAGTAAAAACAGGTCAATGATAATCCCACAGAAACCTTTTAAAGCTGTTAAAACCGCTTCAACATATGAGTTGCTGTAAATGTTATAATTAGTTAAAAAGAACAAGTAGGCCTTGTGTGGTGGCTCACACTTGTAATCCCAGCACTTTGGGAGGCTGAGGCGGGCGGATCACTTGAGGTCAGGAGTTTAAGACCACCCTGGCCAACATGGTGAAACTCCATCTCTACTAAAAATACAAAAAATAGGCCGCGTGCGGTGGCTCATGCCTGTAATCCCAGCACTTTGGGAGGCCAAGGTGCGGGGATCACGAGGGCAAGAGAGCGAGACCATCCTGGCCAACATGGTCAAACCCCGTCTCTATTAAAAATATAAAAATCAGCTGGTCGTGGTGGCGTGGTGGTGGCTGCCCGTAGTCCCAGCTACTCAGGAGGCTGAGGAAAGAGTATTGCTTGGACCGGGGAGGTGGAGGTTGCAATGAGCCGAGATCACGCCATTGCACTCCAGCCTGGGCGACAGAGCCAGACACTGTCTTAAAAAAAAAAAAATAGCCAGACATGGTGGTGCACACCTGTAGTCCCAGCTACTCAGGAGGCTGAGGCAGGAGGTTGCAGTAAGCCGAGATCATGCCATTGCACTCCAGCCTGGACGGCAGAGGGAGACTCCGTCTTAAAAAAAAAACAGAATAAGTAAATCTGGTGAACTGGTTTTCCATTAGTGCAGCTATTTTCTGCTTTTTGGACATAGTGGTTAAAACGAGGTGAATAGACAGAAATGCATTTACAAATTTATGATATAACTTTTCAATAAAAGGTGCTGGACCAATTAGGAAAAAAACTAAATCTAGACCTTTGCCTCACACCAAACACAAAAATGAATTCATAATGGACCATACACCTAAGTATGACAGGGAAAGTAAAGCTTCTAGAAAGAGGATATGTTAATGAATGTAAGGTACGCAAAGATTTCAAAAACAGGAAAGAGTAACCAAAATGAAAAAAAAAAAAAGTTAAACAGGCACCCACCTGTAGTTCCAGCTACTCAGGAGGCTTGAGGTGGGAGGATCGCTTGAGCCCAGGAAATTGAGGTCGTAGTGCACAATGATAGCCCCTGTGAACAGTCACTGCACTCTAGCCTGGGCAACACAGTGAGAACCCATGTCTATTAAATAAATAAATAAGTGTAAAAATTTTAAAAATAAATCAATAAAGTCGATGAAATAAAATTCATCAAAACTGGAAACTTCTATTCATCAAAAAACATCATTAAGAAAATGAAAAATGGAGGCCGGGCGTGGTGGCTCACGCCTGTAATCCCAGCACTTTGGGAGGCTGAGGCAGATCACAAGGTCAAGAGATCAAGACCATCCTGGCCAACACAGTGAAACCCTGTCTCTACTAAAAATACAAAAATTAGCTGAGCGTGGTGGCGCACACCTGTAGTCCCAGCTACTCAGGAGCCTGAGGCAGGAGGATCACTTGAACCCGGGAGGCGGAGGTTGCAGTGAGTCGAGATTGTGCCACTGCCCTCCAGCCTGGCAACAGAGTGAGACTCTGTCTCCCGAAAAAAAAAAAAGAAAAAGAAAATGAAAAATGGAAGCCACAAATTGCAGGGAACATTTGCAAAATACATACCTGAGAAAGGACTCATCCTAAATATATAAAGCACTCTTGTAAATCAACAAGAAAAAGACAAATAATTTTTTTTTAATGACAAAAGACTTGATCAGGAACTTCCCTAAAGACTACATTCAAATAGTACACATATGAGGCCAGGGACAGTGGCTCACGCTGTAATGCCACCAGCACTTCAGGAGGTGGGAGGATTACTTGAGCCCAGGAGTTCGAGACCAGCCTGGGCAACATAGTAAGACTCCCCCTGCCCCACCATCTCTACAAAAAAAAAAAAAAAAAAATTAGCCAGGCATGGTGGCGTGTGCCTGTAGTCTGAGCTATTCAGGAGGCTGAGGTAGGAGGATCCTGTGAGCCTGGGAAGTTGAGGCTGCAGTGGGTCATGATTGCATAACTGCACTCCAGCAAAAGAAAATTTGAAAATGTGCTCAGTATCATTAATTAGCAGGGAAATATAAATTAAAACCACAATGAGATACCACTACAAATCCACCTGAACAGCTAAAATATTTTAAAACACATATGCTGTACCAAGTGTTGGTGTAATATGTGCGGCAACTAGAATTCTCATGCATTGCTGCTAGAAGTGTTAATTAGCACATTCACTATGGAACATTTTTTGGCATTATCTAAAAAACTAAACATATGCCTACTAGCAATTCCACTCCTAGAAATGAGGGCATTTGTCCATGAACAGACATATACCACCAGAACGTTTAGGGCAGCTTTATTCATAACAGACAACAATTTAAAACCCCAATAAGTGCTCATGATAGGAGTCTCTTCATATGAAGTTCAAGAACAGGCAGAATTAATCAATGCTTCTAGAAATTTGGAATAGTGATTTTTTCTAAGTAACCTCTGGGAGTGGATACTGATGGAAAGAGACATGAGACAGCCTTCCTGGATGCTGAAAATATTTTTCCTCTTGATCTGGATGGTGGGTACACACATGTAACAATTCATTAGCTTATACACTGAAGGCTTGTTCCCTTTATGTATATTTTACCTCAATAAATTAACAATATGAAACAGTTTATCATTTAATGTCAATTAAATGCTCTACAGCATAAACTCTAAAAATGTTTGATATAGTTTGGATATTTGTCCCCACTCAAATTGGATATTTGTCTCACATTGAGATGTAATCCCCAATATTGGAGGTGGGGTCTGGTGGGGCCTCCTTGCTCCATTCTCGCTAGGCGATATGCCTGCTCCCCCTTTGTTTTCCGCCATGATTCGAAGTTTCCTAGGCCAGGTGCAGTGGCTCACACCTGTAATCCCAGCACTTTGGGAGGCCGAGGCAGGTGGATCACTTGAGGTCAGGAGTTCAAGACCAGCCTGATCAACATGGTGAAACCAGTCTCTACTAAAAATATACAAAATTGGACAAGCGCGGTGGTGCACGCCTGTAATCCCAGCTACTTGGAGGCTGAGACAGGAGAACTGCTTGAACCCGGGAGGCGGAGCTTGCAGTGAGCCAAGACAGCACTATTGCACTCCAGCCTGGGCAACAAGAGAGAAACTCCGTCTGAAAAAAAACAAAACAAAACAAAAAACCCGGAAGTTTCCCAAGGCCTCTGCAGAAGCAGCTGCCACTGTGCTTCCTGTACAGCCTGCAGAATCATGAGCCAATTAAAACTCTTTTCTTATAAATTACCCAGTCTCAGGTATTTCTCTTTTTTTGTTTTGTTTTGTTTTGAGATGGAGTCTCTCTCCGTGTTGCCAAGGCTGGAGTACAGTGACACAATCTTGGCTCACGGCAACTTCCACCTCCCAGGTTCAAGCGATTCTCCTGCCTCAGCTTCCCAAGTAGCTAGGATTACAGGCACACGCCACCACACACAGCTAATTTTTTTATATTTTTAGTAGAGACAGCGTTTCACTATGTTGGCCAGGCTGGTCTCAAACTCCTGACCTCAAGTGATCCGCAAGCCTCAGCCTCCCAAAGTACTGGGATTACAGGTGTGAGCCACTGCACCCGGCCCTCAGGTATTTCTTTACAGCAGTGCAGGCACAGCCTAATACAATGTTAAAAAGGGAAAAATTGTTGTGACCTGGGAAGACGAGAAAAGTTTTATGAGAGGCTGATCTGGAGGGAGTGGTCACCTGCAAGGAAAGCGGAGGGATCCGCTTATTCAAGGAGTTTAGCCCAGAAAGGGAAGAGAAATGGTTCCAGAGCTCACAAAAGCATTGAAATCTTCTTCAGGCCCAACATCTCTAGGTCCTTCAATTATTTCTCCCTTGCAGTTTGTGATGCCATTCCCACCCACTGTGTTATTCTTTCTCATAGCATCCTGTCTCTTCCATCATAGAAGTTGTCACAATTAGTAACCACATATTGATTTGATTAATAACTGAATGCAACTCCTTATTCTGATTATTTCATACTGCATAACAAACTGCCCCAACAGGTAGGGCTCACTGGGATGATTTTTCTGTAACACCTGGCATTAACTGGCAACTCAGAATGTATCCATTTGGTAGTTGGGCTGCTCTTCACTGAAAATCCTCATGCTTTTCTCAGGGAATGGCTGGAAGGATGGCCTCAATGAGCTCACTCCCCCCTTATGGAGTCCCGTAGTAGAGTAGGTGGACATCACTATGGACTGAGTTGTGTCCACTCTGCCCACCACATACACACAGCTCCCAACTCATGTTTTGGAATTTTAACCCCCAATGTGACTATATTTGAAGATAATTTTTTTTTTTTGATAGAGTTTTGCTCTGCTGCCCAGGCTGGAGTGCAGTGCCTCAATCTTGGCTCACTGCAACCTCTGCCTCCTGAGTTCAAGTGATTCTCCTGTCTCAGCCTCCTGAGTAGCTGGGATTACAGGTGTGCACCACCATGCCCAGCTGATTTTTGTATTTTTAGTAGAGACAGGCTTTTGCCATATTGGCCAGGCTGGTCTTGAACTCCCAGCCCCAAGTGATACACCTGCCTCGGCCTCCCAAATTGCTGGAATTACAGGCGTGAGCCACCGCGACTGCCTGGAGATAGGATCTTTATAGGGATGACAATTAAGGATAAATGATGTCATAAGAGTGAGGCCCTAAGCTGATAATACTGGTGTCCTTATAAGAAGAAGAAGAGACATCAGAGGTGCATGCGCACAGAGAAAAGGTCATGTGAGGACATAGTCAGAAGGCGGCTGCCTGCGAGCCAAGGAGAGAGACCTCAGGAGAAACCAACCCTGCAGACTTTGATCTTGGACTTCCAGTATCCAGAAAATAAAATGTGAGCAAATAAATTCCCGTTTTTTAAGCCATCTAGTATTTTGTATGCCAGCCTGAGGAGACTAATAAAGACATATCTATGGTGTCTCAGGACTCAGAGACACAAGACAGGGGCTGTCAGCCCTCTTACAGCCCTGGCCTGGCACTGGTATAGAATCACTTCTGCCATACAGTGTTAGTCACAGTACTCATAGGCCAGCCCACCAGATTCAAGGGGCTGGAGGAGTGGGCTGCACCCTGTTTTCTGTTGTTGTTGTTGTTTGTTTGTTTGTTTTTTGAGACAGAGTTTCACTCTTGTTGCCCAGGCTGGAGTGCAATGGTGTGATCTTGGCTCACTGCAACCTCTACCTCCCAGGTTCAAGTGATTCTCCTGCCTCAGCCTCCCAAGTAACTGGGATTACAGGCATGCACCACCATGCCCAGCTAATTTTGTATTTTTAGTAGAGACAGGGTTTCTCCATGTTGCTTAGGCTAGTTTTGAACTCCTGACCTCAGGTGATCTGCCTGCTTTGGCTTCCCAAAGTGCTGGGATTACAGGTGCGAGCCACCGCACCCGGCCTTTTTTTTTTTTAAGATGAGGATCTCACTCTGTCGCCCAGGTTGGAGTGCAGTGGCATGATCATAGCTCACTGCAGCCTCAAACTCCTGGGCTCAGGCAATCCTCCCACCTTAGCCTCCCAAGTAGCTGGAACTACAGGCATGTGCCATGATGCCCAGCTTACATATCTTGGTGATCCAATGTCATGTGCATATGAGAGGTCTCTAAGATAGTGACTATCTTGGAGACAGCTACCATCTCGGCCTCCATCCAGCCCCCAGTGGCCTGTCAGCTCCATAAGGGCAGGAATCTTGTCTAGTGTGTTTACCAGGCATGGTCTGCTCATATTCAAAATGCCTGTGTTAAAATCAAGGAAATCCTCAACCCCTTGCTGTTTGAAAGAAGGGGTCAGATTAGCTTTTCCTCCCACTGTCTTCAAAGATTTTATCCCCAGGAAATAGAATATAGCTAAATGTTGGGAAGCACATAACCAATTCAAAAATAAATTATATTTAGATGACTAATGACAATTACATTTTTCAGTGGGTCTTGATGCATAGACCAGTGAGCATTATCTCAGTCCCCTTGCCATAGTAATTGGTTCAGGAATAGGTAGTAAAACCAAACCTAAGCCAACTGGCACATGAATTTCTCTGTCCACAGGGATTAGTCCAATCAATAAGAGCAAAACACAGGGCTTTGCTGGCTGGGAAAGACAAGTCATTGATGCTGTGACTGCAGAAATTTTTTAAAATTTATTTTGACATAATTGTAGATTCACATACAGTTATAGGATGTAATTAAGATTCAGTGGCTGGGTGCAGTGGCTCGCTCCTATAAGCCTTGCACTTTGGGAGGCAGAGGAGGGAAGATTGCTTGAGGCCAGGAGTTCAAGATCAGCCTGACCAACATGGCAAAACCCTGTCTCTACTAAAAATACAAAAATTACCTAGCCATGGTGGCACATGCCTGTAATCCCAGCTACTTGGGAGGCTGAGGCATGAGAATTGCTTGAACCCAGGAGGCGGAGGTTACAGTGAGCCAAGATCATGCCACTGCACTCCAGCCTGGGCGACAGAGCAAGACTCTGTCTCCAAAAGAATAAAATAAAATAAAAATAAAGATCCAGCATACCCTTCACTCAGTTTCTCCCAATGGTAACATCTTGCATAAATATAGTACAATATCACACCAGGAAATTATTTTTGATAAAATCCACCAATCTTACTCAGATTTCACCATTTTTACATACACTCATCTGTTTGTGTGTGTTTAGTTCTATACAATTTTATTGCATGTGTAAATATCACATAGGAACAACATTACAGTCAAGATACAAAACTGTTCCATCACAAGGATCCCTCAGGGTACCCTTTTATAGCCACAGACACCTCCTTCCCTTCTCTCTCCCTAATGCCTAGCAACTACTCATCTGCTCTCTATCTCTATAATTTTATCATTTCGAGAATGTTGTGGGCTGGCCACAGCGGCTCACTCCTGTAATTCCAGCACTTTGGGAAGTCGAGGTAGGTGGATCATTTGAGGTCAAGAGTTGGAGACTAGCCTGGCCAATATGGTGAAAACCCGTGTTTACTAAAAATACAAAAAAAAAAAAATAGCTGGGCATGGTGGTACATGCCTTAATCCTAGCTACTCCGGAGGCTGACACAGGAGAATCACTTGAACCCGGAAGGCAGAGGCTGCAGTGAGCCGAGATTGTCCCACTGCACTCCAGCCTGAGTAACACAGTGGGACTCTTTCCCAAAAATAAATAAATAAATAAATAAATAAATAAATAAATAAATAAATAAATGTTATTAATGGAATCATACAAATCACAACCTGAGATTGACTTTTCTCACTCAGCATAATTTCCTTGAGATCTATCCAAGTTGCTGCCTATCTCAGTAGTTCATTCATTTTTATCTCTGGGTAGTATTTCATAATATGGATGTGCCACTGTTTAACTCTTCACCATTCGAGGACATTTGAATTATTTCTAGGCTTGGCTATTACGAACAATGTTTTGTGCAGATTCTTGGGTGAACAAACATTTTTATTTCTCTGAGATAAATGCCCAGTGACATGCAAATTTGAGACTCTAAACTGCAGCAGCTGTTTGGCTACCTCATCAGAGAGATTCCACCCTGATGACCCAATATAAAGTAATAACCATCACTCTTCATCTTCCATATTCTGATTCATTCCACTTTATGGCATGTTTCATACCATGTGTTTATTGCTTGGTTTGCTTATCATCCAACTTTCCCTCTAGAAAGTAATTCCATGACCCCAGCAACCTTGTCTGTTTTGTTCCACACAGTGTCCTGGAATCTAGAAGACTGGCACATAGTTGACACTCAACAAACATTTGTTGAATAAATTAATGAGTAAATAAATCTCAGACACCTTTCCCTATTAGATTATTTCTTCTTTTTCTTCTTCTCCTTCTTCTTCCTCTTCTTCTTCTTCCTCCTTCTTCTTCTTCTTCTTCCTCCTCCTCCACCTCCTCTTCCTCTTCTTCTTCCTCCTCCTCCTTCTTCTTTGTTTTTGTTTTTGGAAACTGCATAGCATTTCATTGTACACCTGCATAATATTTTCATTAACTTATCCCCTGTTGGAGCATATTGACGTTGGTCCCAGTATTTTACAAATCCAAACAATGCTGTAATGGCAATCCTTGTATAATCAAACATCTCTGTCCAGATGGGAGAGAAGCAGAGTAGAAGGTTCTAAGAGTGAGTGCATTTAAATTTTTTTAGTGATTGTCAAATTGTTTTCTTTTACTTTTTTTTTTTTTAATCGAGATGGAGTTTTGCTCTTGTCACCCAGGATGGAGTGCAATGGCGTGACCTCGGCTCACCGCAACATCTGCCTCCCGGGTTCAAGCTATTCTCCTGCCTCAGCCTCCTGAGTAGCTGGGATTACAGGCATGCGCCAACACGCCCAGCTAATTTTGTATTTTTAATAGAGACAGAGTTTCTCCGTGTTGGTCAGGCTGGCCTCGAACTCCTGACCTCAGGTGAGCCACCCGCCTCAGCTCCCAAAAGTGTTGGGATTACAGGCGTGAGCCACCGCGCCCAGCCCAATTGTCAAATTGCTTTCAATGGTGTTCTCCCAATTTACATTCTCACAGTGTACTGGAATTCCTCATATTCTCATTAATACTGAATACTGTCAAAGTTTTAAATCTTTGCTAATCTCATAAATTAAAATTAACATCACCTCTTTTCACATGTTTATTGACCATTTGTTCTTTTTCTCTGTACCATCTGTTCATGACCTTTGCTCATTTTTCTTCTCTCTTTTTTTGCTTTTATTTGTGCAAATATTTTGTCTCAAGGAAATTCATCCTTTGTTTAATTTGCTAAAAACATCTTTCCCCAATTTTCCTTTATCATTCAGCTGTTTAGAAAATTTTTTTATAAGAAGACATCTAATTTTGAATTCTGTGTAACCAAATTTATCCATTTGTGACTTCTGTGGGGTCATGTTTAGAAAGATCTTCCAGATGACAAGTGCCTTAAAAAAAATCAATCAGTTTTCTTTTTCCTGGAATTTTTATGGATTAATTTTCTTAAAAAAATTTCATTGATCAATAATATAGTTCAGTATAAGAAGTGAGATGAGATCTTTTTTCTCCCAAGTAGCTAGCCAGTTATTCCACAATCATTTATTGAATGTATAGCACCAACCTGCAATTTCTCCTGTATCTTGTACTAAATTCTTTTTTTTTTTTTTTTTTTTTTTTTTTGGAAATGGGGTCTGGCTCTGTCACCCAGGCTGGAGTGCAGTGGTGCAATCTCGGCTCACTGCAACCTCTGCCTCCTGGGATCAAGGGATCCTCCCACCTTAGCCTCCCCAGTAGCTGGGACCACAGGTGCACGCCGCAACACCCAGCTAATTTTTTGTATTTTTGGTAAAGACTGGGTTTCACCATGTTGCCCAGGCTGGTCTCAAACTCCTAAACTCAAGCCGTGGCCTCCCGAAGTGCTGGGATTACCCTGCATAAGCCACCGCGCCCGGACCTTATATTAATGTTAAATTCTTATTGATATTTTGTCTTTTTCTCCATTTCCCATTCTGTCTCATCTAATACGTTGGCTTCTTAAGTACTGTATTCTTGTATTTATTATGATAATTTTTTATTTTTCCAGACTAAGGTTAGTATCAGTTGGTAAAAGACAGATAAGAGAGAAGGAGATAGAAGAAGCAGAAATACTTTAGGCCTCATCAGGTCCCACTCAGTTTGCTGCTTGGAAGAAGAATGATCCAAGGAGGGAGGGATCAACAGTGTAAAATGTCACAGGTAAGTGACGACTAACTGGGCCTGTGGTGTAGGGGGAAAAGATTTACCAAGACCATTGTAGGTAAAGAAAGGCAGATTTATTAGAGAAAGTAGAAAAATATGTTGCCAGGGAGACAACAGGCAGTATCAACAGAAGAGAAGCTGACTACAAAGAAACAAAGACTTGCTAGGGATTTTATACAATGGAACTTGGACTGATTGATAACGCTAAGGTAGCAGGAAGCTTAACCCGCATTCTTCTGTCAGCCAAGGTGCTTGATAAATCGAGGCGTTTGATGGTAAGCAGGAAGTTTGTGAGTTATGTACAGGAGGGCCATGTGCCCTGGGCCATAAAAAAAGCAGACCTATCACTTGTTTGCTTTATCTTTGCTTTCCCCTGGTCCCACCAGCCTGACTCCTTTTCCCTGATTAGGACTCCACATAAAATGCCTTCGAGATGTTAAGATGAAGACTGAAAAGTGTCCCTTGGATTTGGCCAATACTAGTAAAAGTCACTCGTTCCCTTAGGGCAGGGAGGTTTAGAGGAGGCAGGAGGAAATTCA
Organism: Homo sapiens; assembly: GCF_000001405.40. Classification (NCBI taxonomy): domain Eukaryota; kingdom Metazoa; phylum Chordata; class Mammalia; order Primates; family Hominidae; genus Homo; species Homo sapiens. The sequence goes on along the minus strand of NT_167247.2, from coordinate 193,494 downwards.
TTTTAAAACGGTATATTTTATTTTATTTATTTTTTGAGACAGAGTCTCGCTCCTGTCGCCCAGGCTGGAGTGCAATAGCGCAATCTTGGCTCACTGCAACCTCTGCCTCCCAGGTTCAAGCGATTCTCCTGCCTCAGCCTCCCGAGTAGCTGAGGTTATAGGCATGCGACACCATGCGTGGATAATTTTTGTATTTTTAGTAGGGACGGGGCTTCCCATGTTGGCCAGGCTAGTCTCAAACTCCTGACCTCAGGTCATCCGCCCGCCTCAGCCTCCCAGAGTGGGTTTATAGGCGTGAGCCACTGTGCCTGTCCCTAAAACAGTATATTTTAGGCCGGGCGCGGTGGCTCACGCCTGTAATCCCAGCACTTTGGGAGCCCGAGGAGGGCGGATCACGATGTCAGGGAATTGAGACCATCCTGGCTAACACGGTGAAACCCTGTCTCTACTAAAAAAAATACAAAAAATTAGCCGGGCATGGTGGCGGGTGCCTGTAGTCCCAGCTACTCAGGAGGCTGAGGCAGGAGAATGGCGTGAACCTGGGAGGCGGAGGTTGCGGTGAGCCGAGATCGCGCCACTGCACTCCAGCCTGGGCGACAGAGCGAGACTCCGTCTCAAAAAAAGAGTATTAATAAAATATACTTTTTTTTTTTTTTGAGACAGAGTCTCGCTCTGTCGCCCAGGCTGGAGTGCAGTGGCGCGATCTCGGCTCACCGCAAGCTCCGCCTCCCAGGTTCAAGCGATTCTCCTGCCTCAGCCTCCTGAGTAGCTGGGACTACAGGTGTGCGCCACCATGCCCGGCTAATTTTTGTATTTTTAGTAGAGACGGGGTTTCACTGTGTTGGCCAGGCTGGTCATGATCTCCTGACCTCGGGATCCGCCCACCTCAGCCTCCGGAAGTGCTAGGATTACAGGCGTGAGCTACCGGGCCTATTAATAAGAATTTTATTAGGCCTTTATACTAAAGAATTTGGACAATGTCCCAGAGGCAAACACAAACAAATAAACAACAACAACAAAAAACCCACAAAACTTTGAAGATGTCTGAGTAAGAAGCGACAGAATGAAAAGCATTTTCTTCTTTAAGAATTTTTAAGGATGATTCTATTCCTTGAGGTGGTATTTGAATCAGTGAAAAAGTACAAATAGAGAAATTAATGGGAAGGCTGCACGGTTACCGATTCTTTGAAAAATACTTGTAAACTGACACACTGGTGCAATAATATAGGTTAGGATTAGTAATAGAAATTAACATGAACAGGTAAATTAAGCAAATCAAAATTCCATGAAATCTGGATGATGAAGGGAAGACAGTAAACACTCAAGGAAGAGGGGCTGGGCATGGTGGCTTCTGCCTGTAATCCCCTCACTTTGGGTGGCTGAGATGGGAGGGTCACGATCACGTGAGCCCAGGAGTTCTTGACTAGCCTAGGCAACATAGTAAGACCCCATCTCTTAAAATTTCTTTTTTCTTACAAAATTTATTGAGAAAAAGACAGGTGTAACTTTTTTAAATTAAAAAAAAGGAAGGGGACTGTTAGAGATTGCTAATGTAAATATTCCCTTTCCCCCACTCCCACCTTGTTCTACCTAACTCATCTATTTTGTTCTACCTTTTTAAAATTTTTTCCTTTTGTTTTCTTTTTTGAAACGGAGTCTTGCTCTGTTGCCCAGGCTGGAGTGCAGTGGCCTGATCTCGGCTCCCTGCAACCTCTGTCTCCCAGGCTCAAGTGATTCTCCAGCCTCAGTCTCCAGAGTAGTTGGGATTACAGGTGTGCACCACTGTGCCCATCGAGTTTTTGTATTTTTGGTAGAGACGGGGTTTCACCATGTTGGTCAGGCTGGTCTTGAACTCCTGGGCTTAAGCGATCCACCCGCCTCAGCCTCCCAAAGTGATGGGATTACAGGCATGAGCCACCACACCCTGCCTGTTCTACCTTTCTTTACCCCCAGGTCACCTGCCTCCAGAGGTAATAAAGGGTTGGTAAGATAAACACAATCAATTCTGAAAAACAAAGCCAAACTCAAGGCTTGCATCCCCCAAGTAAAGGAGAAGATGAAGGGCAGCTTTATCTACCTATCCATATCTCTCATATTTCTGCACTGTATTGCAATGCTTATTAGTCCTTTTTGGAGTAAATGAGAATAGACATATCCTTTAATTCTTACAAATTTCATTGTTGACCCAATCTCAAACCAAGACCAGACTGTGGTGTGGCCTGGCCCAAGTACTCTACATTTTTCTGGAAATGGGCTAAAGCTATTTGGGACTGGAATTTGAATGACTGGGTACTCAGAGTATGGTTGAGAAGGTAGATGTGGGTTTGGGGCTGGCAAGTCCACTTAATCCCTCAGACTTCTTGTCCCATGGGGAAGAGGACCAGAGTGGAACTCTCTAAAGTGATGATGTGGGCTGCTTTGCCTACGGAGTAGCCATTCTTTATTCCTTTATTTTCTTAATAATCTTACTTTCACTTTGAAAAAATAAAAATAAAGTGATGGTCTGGAAGCAGAAGCCCGCCTTGCTCAGATAGCAAGACAATATTGAGAAAATCTCAAAGAAAACTAGGAAACACCAAGTAAGGGATAAGAAAGCAACATAAAAATGCTGGAGGTCTACTGGATGATAAGACAATGAGTATTGTGGGACTCCAAGACCCTGGGTCACCGCAGGATTCTTAGTTTCTCTATACTTCAGAAAGGAGCAAGCAATTTTTAGTTGCTACTCAATACAACAACCCTACGTAGTGGGCATTTTAATACCATTTTAATGGATAAACAATCTTATGGTTCAAAAAGTAAAAGATGTAACGAAATCTACTTCTTACTGCGGTACAATTATCATCCCCATTTCACACGAGGAGAAACTGAGGTAAATGAATGGTAAACCAACTTGCTTGGGCACAAGTGAGAGGTAGCAGAACTGGGCTTGTTATTGACACACAGAAATGTTACCATCTGATAATTAAACCTTTCTTTTTCTAAACAAAACTGCAAGTGCCTACAAATGGGGCTGTTTAATAAAAGGCCTCACTTATCAGGTGGGCTCAGTCGGTGACCCTCCTCATCCTCCAGCCTCTTGGGGAGGCCAGGTGTTTGCGCTCCCCAGCACCTATACAAAGCCAGCTTTCATTTTTTCGTTTCTTTTTTTTTTTTTTTTTTTTTTGAGACAGAGTCTCCCTCTGTCCCGCAGGCTGGAGTGCAGTGGCGATCTCGGGTCACTGCAACCTCCGCCTCCTGGGTTCAAGGGATTCTGCTGCCTCAGCCTCCTGAGTAGCTGAGACTACAGGCGCCTGCCACCACGCCCGGCCAATTTTTCTATTGGTAGTAGAGATGGGGTTTTACCATGTTGGCCAGGATAGTCTTGATCTCCTGACCTCGTGATCCACCTGCCTTGGCCTCCCAAATGCTGGGATTACAGGCGCGAGCCACTGCGCGCGGCCAAAGCCAGCTTTCTTTTGCAGGGGCTGAGACCTGGCACCAAGAGGAAACCCAACAAAAGACGAGGGGCCCGGGCCCGGCAGCCGCTGAAGTTTGTAGGCCCGGAGCGTGTGGCACCATCTGCTCTTGCGACCAGTGCCCTAGGATAGAGCTTCAGCGCGACCAGTCCAAAGGAGAGTGGCGGAGCCTCCTCGGCCTTTCCAAGAGGAAACAGCTCAGGCCCCCAGGCCACGAAATCTTGTCACTCGCTGGAAGCGCGAGCCAAGCCCCGCCCCCGCGAGCCGCCTCTTCCGCTCGCGCTGGGGTGGGGTTTACGCTGCCGCCGGCATCCGCTCGGACGCGGCCACGTTGTCTTGCGCGCTTTGCCCGCCTGGCCCTGGGACTCTGACCCTCGGCTACCCTTTCCTGCCCCACTAGCGTGGCCGCGAGCCTCGGTGAGCCGGCCGTATTCCCGCTCTCGCTTAGGGGGCACAGGCGCAGGCATCGGCCCGGCCACTCCAAGCCTTCGGTGCGCGGGCGCGTCTGGGATACGGGCCCGGGAGGCGCCGCCCTCCGTCCGCCCGGTGCCTCTCAGGAACAGCGAACCGGAGAGAGCGCCGGAGAGTTGGGCTCAGTGCGGAGCTCGGCGCCGGGGCCCATGCCCGTGCGCCCCCGCAGGCCGGCGCCATGGCCTCCGGGAGTGTGGCCGAGTGCCTGCAGCAGGAGACCACCTGCCCCGTGTGCCTGCAGTACTTCGCAGAGCCCATGATGCTCGACTGCGGCCATAACATCTGTTGCGCGTGCCTCGCCCGCTGCTGGGGCACGGCAGAGACTAACGTGTCGTGCCCGCAGTGCCGGGAGACCTTCCCGCAGAGGCACATGCGGCCCAACCGGCACCTGGCCAACGTGACCCAACTGGTAAAGCAGCTGCGCACCGAGCGGCCGTCGGGGCCCGGCGGCGAGATGGGCGTGTGCGAGAAGCACCGCGAGCCCCTGAAGCTGTACTGCGAGGAGGACCAGATGCCCATCTGCGTGGTGTGCGACCGCTCCCGCGAGCACCGCGGCCACAGCGTGCTGCCGCTCGAGGAGGCGGTGGAGGGCTTCAAGGTGAGGGCGCGGATCCGGGAGGGCGGGAGCGCGAGTCGGACAAAGGGAGGAGAGAGCCAAAGGGGCTTCCTTTTTTCCGCCTAGAAAATGGCTGAGCCGGACGTGTGGTTCACAGCCGTCATTTCCTCTCTGTCCGCTCCAGAGCCTCAGCACTCAGATTTGGAGGAAAACCTGTAGCTGGCGAGGAAGGCAGGAGTGTCCCCACCCCCACTCTCTTTTCTCTGTTTACCCCCATGTTACCTGTCTCACGGACACATTGTACACGGAGACATCCTTTTGACAGTTTAAAAGAAGTGCATAAAACCGCGTACACATCGACAAGCTGCAGACACTCTTACTCCCATCGGCTCTCAGACAAAACGCAGTTGGACGTTAACTGACTTATGCCCATTCCTTAGTCTATAAGCATTTCCCCAGCACTTTCCTGCAATCCGTCCTGGTCTAGAAACTCACAGAAAAGAACAGCTTTTCGCTGCTGGAGTAAGTCACTTAACCACTCTGAGACTCAGGAGATAACACAGTTATGAGGAATATTGTGGAATCATGTGACTCACAGAGCCCTTTGTGAACTGGCACAGCTAAACAGAAACGTGGAAACAAAGTATTACATATAAAACAGTTGTAAGGTGACCTTCAAGGAGTCCATGATACTGTGTATTTTCTGTACGTTGAGGGCTTCAGGAATGCGTACACAATTATGTCCGTGTTTAAATATGAGTACATTCATGTGCAATCACTTAACATTTATGGACCTTTCAGCTATATTATTTCACTCACTCTGGTGAGAACTCTTGAGTAGGTTGGGAAGATGGTGTTTGCCCATTTCACACATGAGGGAAATAAGTCACTTTCACAGTGTACCTATATGGAAGAGCTACAATACAACATAGTTCTAAGCCTCCTACTCCAGTCACAGTTCCGCTAAGTCATGCAATATCCTACCAGGGACAGGTAGATGACTCATTGTTTAAGATAGACACAAATAGTCCTGACGAGGTAGCTGAGTGGTTGAAGCCACAGGCTGCTAAGATAGACACAGATTGCCAAAGGAGTGGCTTGTTTGCCCCTGCGCCCTGAGTCTCTTGTGGGTGGCAGTGTGGCCTAAGGACAAGCGCCAACTGGAGACTTGGCATCAGGTGTGTGGACTCCATGTGTGATAAGAAGTACCATGCTGATGCTAAGGTCTACCTAATTTTGAACTGCCCATCTGTTTTGCTTTTCTCAGGAGCAAATCCAGAACCAGCTCGACCATTTAAAAAGAGTGAAAGATTTAAAGAAGAGACGTCGGGCCCAGGGGGAACAGGCACGAGCTGAACTCTTGGTAAGGGTTGTTGGAATTCACAGTTGGTTCTGCTGGTGCTCTCCTCTTCTGTAGAGCTGATGTTACTTCCCTTAAACTTGTCCAGCATGTCACCCAGAACTTGTAGGTAGAGGTGGATCAACCGCACATGGCAGTGGGAACTCACCCGGAGAACTAAGATTCCCTTACTTTTGGGGAAAGCATGGAGAAGCCAAGTTTGGAACCCTTGGAAATCAGACCTGTCAGTTTACTTTAACCTGCTAACTGCGTAGACCAGGGTTGATCCTTGGCAAAGCTGAGATAGGTAAAATTATTGGATACAGTTAGCTTGCGTTGGTACCATTCTGCAGACAATTGCTAATAGTGGATTTGTGTAATCCCCACTGTTGCTTCTCTTTGGCTTATTCTCCTTTCTTAACAATGCCTTAATTCTGAATTTTTTACTCTGCCCTCTTCCTCCAGTCTCAAGGCCTTAACAAGTGGCTGATGTGTTAATTTATATTAGGGGTATATGGGAATTTTTTTTTTTTTTTTAAGACAGGGTCTCACTGTCATCCAGGCTGGAGTGCAATGGTGAGGTTTTGGCTCGCTGCAACCTCTGCCTCCCAGTTCAAGCGATTCTCCCACCTCAGCCTCCCAGGTAGCTGAGGCTACAGGCGTACGCCAACAGACTCAGCTAATTTTTGTATTTTTAGTAGAGATGGTGTTTCTCCATGTTGGTTAGGCTGGTCTCGAACTCCCGACCTCAGGTGATCCGCCCACCTCAGCCTCCCAAAGTGCTGGGATTACAGACGTGAGCCACCGCGCCCAGCCTGGCTCCTTGTTTAGAACAAAAGTTTATAATAGAGTCCTGTTGGTGGTGGGGGTTGGGTGAAGAACGAAGGACAGTAAATTATGGCAAACAAATGAGCGCCAAGAGGGAATCGTGGGGAGAGCACCTCTCCCCCTCCTACCCAAAGCTAGAGACAGCAGTTGGTGAACACCCGTGAAGGACAGACAGCGGGTATGGATTACATATGAAGGGCCCAGGGAAATTGGGCAAGGAAGCTGTTATTGGTTGTTCCATCCTCCATAGGGCACATATCTGACCCTGTCACTTTCCTGTGTGACAATCTTCCATGCTTCCCAGTTGGGATAGAGTCCTTACCCCCAGCCTCCCAGGCCAGGCATGACAAGGCCTTACCTTTTCTGGTCCCTTCCCTCAACACTCATGTGCTCCAGCCAGATAGCACCATTTGCTTTCTCTCCCCACTCTTTTGCCTGTGCCATTTCTTCTGCCTGGAAAGGCTTCCCGCTCATTGCCTATGTGGTGAATTCTTGTTCATCACATGAACATTGTGTGAAATTGCTTCTGTGAAGATGGTACCAGTTTCTTTCATTGCAGGCTGTCACCCTATCTTTAATTACCCATCCATGACTATGTATATCATATGAACCTGACTCACTTCTCTGAGTTGCTTGAGAACAGGGACTATGTCTTAATAATCACTGGGGTAATTCAGTTCCTGGGCATTATATATCCAGTCAGTAAAGACTGGAAATAATGAGTTAGCACTGTGCTTGTTTTAATCCATAATGAGGTCTTGGGCTACATGGTCACAGGAGAACTATGAAGGCCCTAGAAATGAGCCGTTTTTCTCTTTACTGCCTTTCCCTGTCGTCTGCATAGAGCCTAACCCAGATGGAGAGGGAGAAGATTGTTTGGGAGTTTGAGCAGCTGTATCACTCCTTAAAGGAGCATGAGTATCGCCTCCTGGCCCGCCTTGAGGAGCTAGACTTGGCCATCTACAATAGCATCAATGGTGCCATCACCCAGTTCTCTTGCAACATCTCCCACCTCAGCAGCCTGATCGCTCAGCTAGAAGAGAAGCAGCAGCAGCCCACCAGGGAGCTCCTGCAGGTAAGGCTTGCAGAGCCCTGCTAGAGCAGCACCCACTGAAAATATCGTCCCTTCTCCTTTGCCAAGTAGTATCCAGGACCCCCTGTCTTCTTTTTAACTCTGCAGGAATAGCAAGAGCTTGCCAAACTCTATATTGTGCACCTTGGAAGGAAACTGTGTAAACTAGAAGTTCTGGTTCACACAACTTGAATTAGTCAATTGCGTTGTCTCATAGAAATGGCAAAAAGAAGACCTGGTGCTTGTGCCTACACAGCACTGACAAGTGGTCTGATTACAGGCAAGGCTCTCAACCTTTTTGGGCCTCAGTGACCTCATTTGTTCAGTAATGAGGGGCTTAGACCACATGTCATTCAAAGACTCTCCTCACTCCAGTATCCTGTAGTTTTAATGTATTACTATAGCCACAAAACAATGAGCACTTGAGCAGGAGTGGTTAGGTTACCTGAGCAGTCCTGTGATTTAACCTTGGTAGAGCAGGTGATAAAGCTGCAGCAGACCTACCCCGGCAAGACTACAGGAAATGAGCTAATGCCTGTCTGTCGTTTGCTCATTCAGTGCGTATTAATTATTTGCTTTGTGTCAGGCACTATTCTAGGCACTGGGATTAAGTGCCAAATAAGCTTTCCTGAATTATATTTTAGTGTGGCGATCAGATAGTTCTTATAGGTATTTGATAAAAGCCATTAAAAATGGATGATGGCGGGCCAGGTGCAGTGGCTCACACCTGTAATCCCAGCACTTTGGGGGGCCGAGGCGGGTGGATCACAAGGTCTAGGACTTCAAGACTAGCCTGGCCAAGATGGGGAAACCCCGTCTCTACTAAAAATACAAAAATTAGCCAGGCATGGCGGTGTGCCTGTAGTCCCAGCTACGCGGGAGGCTGAGGCAAGGAATTGCCCAAAACCAGGAGGAAGTGGTTGCAGTGAGCCAAGATCGCGCCACTGTACTCCAGCCTGGGCAACAGAGCGAGACTCTGTCTCAAAAAAATAAATAAATAATAAAAAATAAAAATAAAAATGGATGATGGCATAGGGCAAGGGTCAGCAAATTATGGTCCATCCCCTGTTTTTGTATGTCCTGGGCAATAAGTATGGTTTTTACATTTTAATTTTAATTTAATATTATTTATTTATTTTGAGATTGAGTCTTGCTCTGTTGCCCAGGCTGGAGTGCAGTGGTGCGATCTTGGCTCACTGCAACCTCCGCCTCCTGGGTTCAAGCGATTCTCCTGCCTCAACCTCCTGAGTAGCTGAGATTACAGGCGCACACCACCATGGCTGGCTAATTTTTGTATTTTTAGTAGAGACGGGGTTTCACCATATTGGTCAGGCTGGTCTCAAACTCCTGACCTCGTGATCTGCCCTCCTCGGCCTCCCAAAGTGTTGGGATTACAAGTGTGAGCCACAGCGTCAGGCCAGTTTACATTTTTAAATGGTAAAAATCAGAAAAATGTATTTCTTTCTTTCTTTTTTTCTTTTTTTATTTTTGAGACGAAGCAAGAAGGGAGTGGACAGCATAGTAATGCAGTTGAGGTCAAATAATATCAAAGCTGATACCCATTTGATTCAATAACATGACCATCATTGGTGATCTTAGGTAGAACTATCACAATGGAATAATTGGGGCAGGAGCCACATTAGGGGGAGTTGAGTAGTGACTAGGTCAGGTGAATGGAGACTACACAAGTAGATGACTATTTCAAGTACAACTGTTAAGGGGTTGTAATAAAATACTTAGAGACGAGACAGGATTATGGAGTTTTATCTGGAAGGGTTGGTTAAAGAAACTAGAAGTTAGACATATTTTCAAAATACGTATGGAAAGGAGTATATGTTGTAAGGTTTCTAGGTGAGGGAGAACACTGAAGCCACAAGAAACCATATACTGGCCGGGCACGGTGGCTCATGCCTGTAATCCCAGCACTTTGGGAGGCCGAGGTGGGCAGATCACCTGAGGTCGGGAGATTGAGACCAGCCTGACCAACATGGAGAAACCCCATCTCTATTAAAAATACAAAATTAGCCGGGTGTGGTGGCGCATGCTTGTAATCCCAGCTACTCAGGAGGCTGAGGCAGGAGAATCGCTTGAACCAGTGAGACGATGGTTGCAGTGAGCCGAGATTGCGCCATTGCATTCCAGCCTGGGCAATGAGCGAAACCCTGTCTCCAAAAAAAAAAAAAAGAAAGGAAGAAAGAAACCATGTACTGATCAGCAATGTGCGGTTCCTGAGAAGGCAGGTGGAAATGAGAACTAAAGTACATATGCCAGGAATTAGTGTCAGAGAGTCTTCTGTTGTATGGGAAGAAATGATTGTTTCAGAGTATGGGAAAGACAGTTGGTTTGCGAGAACTAGTAGGAGTATTTGGTCAGTGAACATCTATTTATAGTGTAACCATTCTGCCCTGTTGTGTAACTTTCTTTTTTTTTTTTTTTTAAGACATACTCTTGCTCTGTTGCCCAGGCTGGAGTGCAGTGGTGCAATCTTGGCTCACTGCAACATCCCCCTCTCAAGTTCAAGCAATTCTCCTGCCTCAGCCTCCCAAGTAGCTGGGATTACAGGCATGTGCCACCACGCCCAGCTAATTTTTGTATTTTTTATAGAGACGGAGTTTCACCATGTTGGCCAGGCTGGTCCTGAACTCCTGACCTCAGGTGATCCTTCTGCCTCGGCCTCCCAAAGTGCTGGGATTACAGGTGCGAGCCACCGTGCCCAGCCCCTGTCGTGTAACTTTCTTATCAGCTTTGCTTTCTCAAATCTTGACTGCTCTGGCGTGGGCACTGAGTAAGCAGATGGTCAGTCTCATCCAGGATTGGGGTTTTGCAAGATGGACTTGAGTGTTTTTTTTTCCTTAGTTTTTATTGTTGTTGTTTGAGACAGGGTCTCACTCTGAAACCCAGGCCGGAGTGCAGTGACATGATCATGGCTCACCGCAGCCTTGACCTCCCAGGCTCAGATGATCCTCCCACCTCAGCCTCCCAAGTAGCTGGGACTACAGGCGTAAACCACCATGCTTGGCTAATTTGTGTAATTTTTGTAGAGATGGAGTTTTGCCATGTTGCCTCGGCTGGTCTTGAACTCCTGGGCTCAAGCAATCCATCCGCCTCAGCCTCCCAAAGTGCTAGGATTACAGGTGTGAGCCACCACATCCAGCCTTCCAGCCTTCTTCATTTTTTTAATTGTAAAATATACGTAACCTAAATTTCACCATTTTAAAGTGTAAAACTCTGGCACAAAGTAGCATTTAGTAAATCCACAGTGTTGTAAATTATCAACCACTGTCTGGATCTAAAACACTTTTACCACCCAAAAGGAAACCTCACACTATTAAGCAATCACTCCTCATTTCCTTCTACCCCTAACTCCTGGCTCTATGGATTAGTCTATTCTAGATATTAGATATAATTGAAATCATACAGTACGTAGCCTTTTTCTTCACTTAGCATACTTTTTTTTTTTTTTGAGGCAGAGTTTCACTCTTGTTGCCCAGGCTGGAGTGTAACGGCACGATCTCCGCTCACCGCAACCTCCGCCTGCCAGGTTCAAGCGATTCTCCTGCCTCAGCCTTCCGAGTAGTTGGTATTACAGGCATGCGCCACCACCCCTGGCTAATTTTGTATTTTTAGTAGAGACGGGGTTTCTCCATGTTGGTCAGGCTAGTCTCAAACTCCTGACTTCAGGTGATCCACCCACCTCAGCCTCCCAAAGTATTGGGATTACAGGTGTGAGCCACCACGCCCGGCCTATCACTTAGCATATTTTTTTAAAGATTCATTCATATTGTAATATGTTTCAGTACTGGCCAGGCGCGGCGGCTCACGCCTGTAATCCCAGCACTTCAGGAGGCCGAGGTGGGCAGATCACGAGGTCAGGAGTTCGAGACCAGCCTGGCCAACATGGTGAAACCCCGTCCCTACTAAAAATACAAAAATTAGCCAGGCGTGGTGGCGCATGCCTGTAATCCCAGCTACTCAGGAGGCTGAGGCAGGACAATCACTTGAACCTGGGAGGCAGAGGTTGTAGTGAGCCGAGATCGTGCCATTGCACTCCAGCCTACGCAATAGAATGAGACTCCATCTCAAAAAATATATATATGAAAAAATATATATTTCAGTACATATATATATGTTTCAGTATTTCTCTTTATGGCTGAATAACATTCCATTGTATGGATATATAATATGTTTTGTTTATTCATCAGTCGATGGGCATTTTGGTTGTTTGCACCTTTTGGCTATTGTCAATAGTGCTGCTGTGAACATTGAACACAAAAAGTAGAAAATGGTTCACAAATTTGTGTGTTATCCTTGTGCAGGAGCCATGCTAATCTGTGCATGGTTCCCATTTGAGGATATCTGCTGCTGAAGCAAGCACCATAATTAAGGCTTTAAAACCTTTTTTTAAATTTTTTTTAGACAAAGTCTCACTCTGTTGCCCAGGCTGGAGTGCAGTGGCACAATCTCAGCTCACTGCAGCTTCCACCTCCTGAGTGAGTCTCCTGCCTCAGCCTCCCGAGTAGCTGGGATTACAGGCACACACCACCACACCTAGCTAATTTTTGTATTTTTGGTAGAGATGGGGTTTCACCATGTTGGCC
>NT_167247.2:132458-173844 GCF_000001405.40 Homo sapiens | reverse complement strand
GGCCATATATTATTCCACCCAGGAATACTAAAATTCCTGGGCAGTCTGGTGGATTCTGAAATCCTTATATGTAGGTAAACCCTTCTCTTAATTATTAGAAATTACAAACCCCCACAATCTTTGATAATTTTCTATTTTGTATATGCTGGGTTCATATATGCATTGCATCTATTCAGATATATACTTTTTGGGGCATCTAGCAACATAGAGCTAGCAGATACATGTCCTCTACAAGCAAGACAAATGGGGAGAAACTCCACTCAATACAGTGGATAATACCAGAAGTGGTTAGTTCAGGCATGACTTTCCTTGATCTGGCTCTTCTTTTCTTGCCACTTAAAAGTCTTAGTGGGATAATGTGTGAAAAATTCTGTTTCAACTATAAAGTGCCTTATAAATGAATGGTCATGTTTACCCCAGAGTGTCAGTGAGTGTCACTTGAGCCATTCAGCTCTTGTACACAGATGACTTATGCAACTCAAAAGTTATGTATGACGTGGGGTTGGAACCGCGTTTCCCTCTGCAGAATCAGCTGACTCACTGGAAGGTGGAATTCTTGATCTTGGCTCAGTTTTATCCCATATTCTACCAGTCTCAGGCATGTGGTTATCCCTGTACTTAAGATTCCCAATCCCTCTCCCCTTAAAGCTTTTGGTTGGATGATAGAGCCATACATCATATGAAAAAATTAGTGCATGACTAACAACAGAGGTTCTGGGGTTTCTGGTGGAGACCACTGCTTTATGATGACTAACCAAAGCCCCCTTAGTTATGTATTTCCTGGAAACCCTCATGACTTCCATAACTTTGCTCTTTTATTCTTTCAGAATTAAGAGAGGCTCAGTTATACTCAGGTAGGTGATGAGAGACAAAACCATATTAGGGTAAGGAGTAAAAATCCTTGTGAACCTAACTACTATTATGAATGATTTGGAAATTGCTTAGATTTGGATTCTTTTGGTTACATGTATAAAGATGATACACAACAACCACAAAAATCCTCAGTTGTTTCTATGTGTTAACAGTATCTTTGCCTCCTGAAATGTCTCAGAGCTGAAGCCATAGGGTAAAATCAATCTCAGGTGTTAAAGAAGGATTATAGGGTGGAAACCGCAGTTCCCCAAAAGTAGAACAGAGCTGGTACACTAGTACACTGCTCTGCCCGCCCAGCTTCAGGGTCAAACCATGGTTTGTGACAAGCAGGACTGATTGAGCTCCACAATAGTGCTCTTGAGTGCTAGAGGAAGTCTAGGAGTCTTGTGTCATCCCATCACTGTGCCTCAGAGCAAAGTTTGAAACTTCCCTTCCCCCTCACAACCGCTTTCACCCTACTATAGAGCCTGGGTAAATTTAACATTGCAGAAGTATTCAAATCTAAGGTGTATTCGTCCCATAGTCACAGTCACCTTCTGTTATGAATTATCCTCTAAATGAAGAGAAGGACTCTACATACAGTGGATCTGCAGTCCTTGGTGTGCAGTGGCTCTGATCCATATTTATTTTCAACAAGTATTAAATGAGTACTTTGCTTGTATCCTACACTGCCTAACATTGTGCAGGGTATTTTAGAGGAACAGAAGAGCATAAGTCATCCTACTCTTGGGGTTTACATTGTCTGGTTGGAGGTATACCCATGACACAAGAAGAAGGTAGGCAGCTGTTGTAGACAGATTGTTGAACCAGGAGCCAAGGGTTCTGGGGTTCTTGGTTACCTCTATCAGTTGCCTGTCTTTTGTGGGAGTAAAAATTTGTGGGCTTAAATTTCTGAGAGGTAATGTTTGGGACTCTTCCTCCTGAACAAGATGTGAGGAGCAAATGAGAGAATACATATCAGTATTTTTATTTATTTATTTATTATTTTAATTTTTTAAATTTTTTATTATTCATTTTAGAGGCAGGTTCTCTGTTGCCCAGGCTGGTGTGCAGTGGCATGGTGATAGCTTGCTGCAGCCTCATACTCCTGGGCTCAAGTGATCCTCCTGCCTCAGCCTCCTGAGTAGCTGGAATTACAGGCATGCACCACCATGCTTGCCTAATTTTTTTACTTTTATTTTTTGTAGAGACAGGGTCTCAAACTCCTGTATGCAAGCAATCCTCTTGCCTCAGCTTCCCAAAGTGCTGAGATTACAGGCATGAGCCACATATCCAGCCCATTATCAGTGTTTTTGAAGCAGGAAAACACTTGATGATAGCAAGATGCTGTAATACTAAATGCCAGAGGAGATGACATGGGTCATACACAGTTTTAGATTTCAGAACAGTAAGTGTAATGGCCTGGGCAGATTAAGAAAAACTTGGAGGATGTGTGTTTTGGACTGGACATTAGAAGAAGATGAATAGAGCTTCGATGTGCAGAGTAAAGATCTTATAGAATGGATAAAAGAGTGATTTGGGCTGGGTGTAGTGGCTCACACCTGTAGTCCTAACACTTTGGAAGGCTGAAATGGGAAGTCTGCAGTGAGCCATGATTATGCCACTGTACTACAGTCTGGGTGACAGAGTGAGACCTCATCTCAAAAAATAAAAAAAAGTAAAAAATAATTTTAAAAGAGTGATTTAAAAAGTAAGCATACTGATACAGGTTCCCAGTCCCTTACCCACAGTTCTAAAATCCCAAATCTCTGAAAGCCAAAACCTTTTTCATTATTTTGTGGGAAATTAATTATAGCATCAAAACCTGAATTTATGTGGTACTGTTTAGAGCCTTTATCCTTCATTATGTAAACATTCATGAATCTCACAGCAGATCTATTAATACTTCATTATAGAATGCTGCCTGTCTAAAACCTGTAATATTCTGAATTCTGTGAAACTTGGGGCCCCTGGAATTTTCAGAATAAGGGATGATGAGCGTGTAAGAAAACCTCAATTCAGCGTATCTGCCAGGCACAGTGGCTCATGCCTGAAATCCCATTGCTTTGGGAAGTTGAGGTGGGAGGATTGCTTGAGGCCAAGAGTTCGAGACCATCCTGAGCAACATAGTAAGACCTCATCTCTACAAAAAATTTTTTAAAATTAGGGTGGTAGTGCACACCTATGGTCCCAGCTACTTGGGTGTCTTAGGCGGGAGAATCACCTGAGCCCAGGAGTTTGGGGTTACAATGAACTATGACCACACCACTGCACTCCAGCCTAGGCAACAGAGCAAGACCCTATCTCTTAAAATCAGTTCATGATGGATATTGTGGCTTCAGATGTGAAAGAAAAGATACGGGGCTAAAATTCTGTATTTTCAGTGTATTCTGGTAACCAGCTAATCCAAGCAGTAATTTTTGAAATGTGAAGTTTAGAATATATTCTAAATAAAATACGTGCAACCTCCAGTGGGAACCTCTTATTATTGGGGAGGTAGTAGAAAGGCGCTGGGTGTTCTAAAATAGGCTCTCCTGGCCCACGGCTGACTGTCTTCCTTGTGTCTCTGCAGTGGACGTGACTCTGGACCCAGACACGGCCTACCCCAGCCTGATCCTCTCTGATAATCTGCGGCAAGTGCGGTACAGTTACCTCCAACAGGACCTGCCTGACAACCCCGAGAGGTTCAATCTGTTTCCCTGTGTCTTGGGCTCTCCATGCTTCATCGCCGGGAGACATTATTGGGAGGTAGAGGTGGGAGATAAAGCCAAGTGGACCATAGGTGTCTGTGAAGACTCAGTGTGCAGAAAAGGTGGAGTAACCTCAGCCCCCCAGAATGGATTCTGGGCAGTGTCTTTGTGGTATGGGAAAGAATATTGGGCTCTTACCTCCCCAATGACTGCCCTACCCCTGCGGACCCCGCTCCAGCGGGTGGGGATTTTCTTGGACTATGATGCTGGTGAGGTCTCCTTCTACAACGTGACAGAGAGGTGTCACACCTTCACTTTCTCTCATGCTACCTTTTGTGGGCCTGTCCGGCCCTACTTCAGTCTGAGTTACTCGGGAGGGAAAAGTGCAGCTCCTCTGATCATCTGCCCCATGAGTGGGATAGATGGGTTTTCTGGCCATGTTGGGAATCATGGTCATTCCATGGAGACCTCCCCTTGAGGAGGTGAATTCAGGCCAAAAGGGCTGTTGGCTGTAATCCTACGCCAGGCACAAGGCATCTTGTTGCCTTGCCACGTCCTGTCACAGCTGGGTATCCTTACCATGTTCCACGCCCTTGCAGTGGGAGACAGGATGTCCATGTTCTCTACCATCCTTTTCCTTCCCATGCAGATTGTGAAATGTAATGAGATGTATCAAGATATCCTAGAAATAAAAACCAGATGTCCACCTCCAGTGTTTCATACTTTCTGGTTTTACACATCGCTGGAGGGATAAAGAGTATGGATAATCTTTGGATTTGGAGAGCCGTTCAAGATACTTCCAGCTTCTTGGCTCAGCCTGGCTTCCTCTGGTTCAGCCCCACATAATGATTATGGCTATTTGCTGTCATTTCTGGGCTAGGGCTCCTTTCTAACAACCTAGACTGGAATAAGGCCCTGTCAGCATGGCTCCCTTTATCCCAGTTTTCCGTCTGGGAACAGTACCTCTGCCCCTGATTCCCAATGTGCCATAGTTTTATTAACTCCATTAAAGAAGCCTGTATGTGTTTTGGTTAGTTACAGTTATTTTACAATAATGGTGGGTAATGGCCCCACCTCTGTTATGAGATAATGTTCTAATCAATGTCTCTGCCTTTGTATCTTTTCTGAGGGCTTTGTCTGTTCTCTTCATTCTAATGAAAGGTGTATTCTAGTGCTGGGTGCATATCATCCAGGATAATATTCTGCCCAACTCCATCCTCTGTTACTAGATCCCTTACCAGTCACATTTGTGGACTGGTGGCCAGTCGTATACCATCCCTGGAAGGATTCTGGGACAATATTCCAGGGATTCATTGACTTCTTGGCTCCTTTTCTCCATTTCCTTTGGGGGAAGGGGGAATTGACCATGCTTAAGTGCATCCTATCAAGGGGCAGCTCCGTCCCCATGGCCATTGGATCATGAGACACTCTGAAGTCAGAAGGCTGGGGCAGATCACTTCAAGCAAGCCCCCATGATGGTTCTCAGTCCTGCTTCTCTGTGGGTACGTGCCCCTCTGTTTAAAAATAAACTGAATATGGATGTTTACATTGTTGTTGCTTTCTGGGTGTTGGTAGGATTGGGTTCAGATGTTGGAATGCGTGTGGGGAGGAAATGGTTAATGGTGTTGCTTTCCCATATGGGTGCAAAAATCCCACTCTGGCCAATAGTTTACTTCAAACTGGAAAATAAAACCACTTTCTCAGTGCCATGTCACTACTTTCTAGTGGTGCTAAGAAAGTAGTGTTGGACATTCATAGCCTACAGTTCTTTTTTTTTTGAGGTGGAGTCTTGCTCTGTCGCCCAGTCTAGAGTGCAGTGGCACGATCTCGGCTCACTGCAACCTCTGCCTCCCAGGTTCAAGCGATTTTCCTGCCTCAGCCTCCTGAGTAGCTGGGACTACAGGCGCCTACCACCGCGCCCGGCTAATTTTTTGTTTTTAGTAGAGACGGGGTTTCACCATCTTGGCCAGGGTGGTCTTGAACTCCTGACCCTTGTGATCCACCTGCCTTGGCCTCCTAAAGTGCTGGGATTACAGGCGTGAGCAACCGCGCCCGGCCTGCCTACAGTTCTTATATTGGTTAATCCTGTAATTTTACTAGGAAAGTATTTTCTCAAGTCCTTTTTGTAGTATTGTGCCAGGCATTGGGGTTCCATGGCTGAGGTTCATGAGTTGGTGATATCATGTCCTAATTCTTCATTTATTCATCAGGTTTTAAGGGAAATAATAGAACCAGGGCTATAGAAAGTAGCTTCCATGAGGCTAGATTAGCTTTTGCTGAATATTCTGAGATCTAAATGTATACGGTAATATATATACAGGCACATAAATACTACTAACAAACATAGAGCAGTGCTTGGCACATCATATGAAGAGTTTTATGCACAGTAGCTTCCTTAATGCTCATGATAATTTTATCAAGTGTGTACTGTTGTCTTACTTTACAGATAAACTGCAGCAGAGAGGGTAAATGACTTATCCAAGGTACACAGCTAGGAAGCAGCAGAGCCAGGATTCAAACTGAGATGGAACACATGACCACATCAGGTCCTGCCCCACAACATGTGTTATTGGTTATCTTCTAGTTCTTGTGGGTGGTGTGTTTATAGGTATTTATTTATATTTTTAGTTTTAAAAGCCTGCCATTTTGAATGGGATTAAATGAACTTGTGATTCTAAGTTTACTCATCTGCAGAAAGGTAAGCAACTTTTGAGTTCACCGAGTCAGGAATTGAGTCACTAAAGACATATGGGGCCCACTCCGATTCCTTTGACTCCCCTCTCTTTCCTCAGAACATCTGCAATTGTTAATTATACATTACGGTTTCAATAACTTCTTCCTTAATTCTTTTGCTGTTCCAGGAAGTGTGTGTTTGTGCATGCACGTATGTGCACATGCCTGTGTGTCTTCAGGTGCTCTTGTTTTTTCTGATAAAGGCCAACATGCAAAGAAGACCATCTTCCCCAAGAGCAGACAAGGCCTAGAAGAGATAGGTTCAAAGAATAAAGGGAAACTGAACATGGCCCATACCCTCCACCATGTACAATTAAGTGAGAAGATGAGAGAATGCATGTAACAGCCTAACACTTAAAGGCACTATGAAATTAAGAGCAAATAACTGTCAGATGGTAAATGAGAGCCATTTGCTAATGCCTTTAGTTACCTGAGATGCAGACCAAAGAGTATACGTGGAAATCACGTATCTCCTCCCAGCAAAATAAAAAACAAAACTCAAAAGGTTCTTAGCATACCAATGGTGGTTGAGTTGCTTCTTCACAAATGAAAAACATTCTTTTATTCAAATAGACAATTCAACCAGTGTTGGGTGCCCCAGCTGAACTTGCTCCTGAAGAGAATACAAGAGAGCATGGCTTCTATCCTTTGAAAAGTTAATTAGGAGAGGGGGAAAATAACGTGAAAAAATGTAGAGTACAACTAAAGATGATCTGGGGAGAAGTGAAACTTGTGCTCCAGGAGACCTCATTGCAGACCACAGTAATGTAAGAGGAAGCCTAAATGCCTGGGCTATGTTTCTTAGTGCCCTTTTTCTTGAGACTAAGAGACTTGCCCACTAGCTCCGTCCTGCACTAAATTTTGACTTAATGATATAAGCACATTACTAAATCCTGCACTTTGTTGAAACCAGAAATTCCTCCTATATGAAGTCTGTGAGAGTAATAATAAATCCCAACCAAACCAGCGTTAGAGAAAGGGTCTCACTTTGTCACCAAGGCTGGAATGCAGTGGCAAGATTATTACTCACTGCAGGCTCGAACTCCTGGGCTCAAGGGATTCTTCCTCCTCAACCTCCCAAAGTGTTGGGATTACAGGCATGGGCCACCATGCCAGGCCAAATAGTACTTCCATTTGACAGTATTGCCCCATTACATTTCCTTTTTCCCGTTGGAGAAAAGATACATTTCTTAGATCTGGCTTATCTGTTGAATTAATTTTGCATTTGAAGTTTGAAATGTAAGCAGGACATTTGAAGGTAACCTTTAGAGATACACACATCTCTACCAGATTCTTTGTTTAGAGGATGTGAAGAACTTGGATTTGTATGGGATGTGATTGCCAAACCCATTTTAGGGTTCTGATGCACAAAAAGAATAATAGAAAAAAGTGAGAATTAGAAAGATTTGAACCTACATATTTCTTTAAAAACTGGGAAGAAATATGCCAAAATATTAGCATAGATGCTTTTGATGAGACTTGGTGATTTTTTTTTTTTCTGTATTGAATGAACTCTTCACTATGGAAACCTGTAACCATATACAAAAATGAAGAAAATACACAGCGAACCCTCCTATATCATCTCCCAACTTCAACTACCAATTTATGGTCAGTCTCATTTGAATACAGCATCATCTCAATTTCCACCCCAATCTCTGTTACTCTCACGTAATCCTGGACATACCAGAAAACCAAGTTATATGAACCTCAAACAAAACAGTCAAGGGACTCATTTCAAGGTTGGAAATTAAATCCTGTTTTTTTGTTTTGTTTATTTCATTTTCATAGACCACCATTGTTAGCTTCTTTCCTTTTTAGTCCCTCTGCTTCCCTCTTCAAATAATTTGTCAGGCCTTTTAAAATTCCTCTTACAGATGTTTTCATAAAAATGTAGAATGGCCTGTGGGGAGTCTTATTGTGCAATAAATATTATTAGTAAATAGTTAAAATATTGACATATTTAATTATATTTTACCTTATTCCAAAAAGGACTTAAAGCCATTTAAAACATAAAATCATGTCTGGGCTCGGTGGCTCACACCAGCACTTTGGAAGGCTGAGGCGGGCGGATCACCTGAGGTCAGGAGTTCAAGACCAGCCTGGCCAACACGGTGAAACCCCATCTCTACTAAAAATACAAAAATTAGCCAGGTGTGGTGGTGCATTTCTGTAATCCCGACTCGGGAGGCTGAGACGGGAGAATTGCTGGAACCCAGGAGGCGGAGGTTGCAGTGAGCCAAGATTGCACCACTGCACTCCAGCCTGGGCAGCAGAGCAAGACTCCATCTCAAAAAAAACCAAAACAAACCCATAAAATCAAGACATCAGGAGTTTAACATGCCATAAAGGAAGAAAGAAAAAATACGGCACAGCCGGGCGCGGTGGCTCACGCCTGTAATCCCAGCACCTTGGGAGGCCCCGGCACGCAGATTACGAGGTCAGGAGTTCAAGACCAGCCTGGCCAACATAGTGAAAAACCCCATTTCTACTAAAAATACAAAAATTAGCTGGGCATGGTGGCACGAGCCTGTAGTCCCAGCTACTTGGGAGGCTGAGGCAGGAAAATTGCTTGAACCTGGGAGGCAGAGCTTGAAGCAAGCCGAGATTGCGCCACTGCACACCAACCCGGGTGACAGTGCGAGACTCCGTCTCATTAAAAAAAAAGATGGCACAAAAAATGACCAGGATTAGAAGTGAATCTATAGTATGAAAACTACGAGGACACTAAATGTGGGCCACAGTTGGGTTTTAAAAATTGACATGGGAACATTGTTAATTGTATAGCTTCTAGTTTCTGTAAGATGGAAGTAACTAAATGTTTAAGGGACATAATGGGATTCTTGTTAATAAGAGATAGGAATTTCTGCTTGGGTTCTTGGTAAATAGAAACTGTATCCCAAGAGTTTACTTTTCATAAAATAAGTCTTACAAATCAATAAGGAAAGATGGACACCTCATAAAAATTTGGTAAGCAATTTACTGAGGAAGGAGTATAAAAATCCTTTAAACATGAATATTGGACCTCACTAATAATCAAATCAGAAAAAAAAGGGGGGGCGCTATATCATTTGTTACCTATTAAAATGTGCCAGGAGCGGTGGGTCACGCCTGTAATCCCAGCACTTTGGGAGGCCGAGGCGGGCACATCATTTGAGGTCAGGAGTTTGAGACCAGCCTGACCAACATGGTGAAACCCTGTTTCTACTAAAAATACAAAAAAAAATTAGCTGAGTGTGATGGCTCATGCGTGTAGTTCCAGCTACTCGGGAGGCTGAGACGAGAATCACTTGAACCTGGGAGATAGGTTGCTGTGAGCTAAGATCATGCCACTGCACTCCAGCCTGGGCAACAGAGCAAAACTCCGTCAAAACAAACAAACAAAAACTGGATAAACATTGATGTAGGCCGGGCGCGGTGGCTCACGCCTGTAATCCCAGCACTTTGGGAGGCTGAGGCGGGCGGATCAAGAGGTCAGGAGTTCGAGACCAGCCTGACCAACATAGTGAAACCCCGTCTCTACTAAAAATACAAAAATTAGCCGGGCGTCGTGACGGGCGCCTATAGTCCCAGCTACTCGGGAGGCTGAGGCAAGAGAATGGTGTGAACCCGAGAGGTGGAAGTTGCAGTGAGCCAAGTCGTGCTACTGCACTCCACCCTGGGTGACAGAGCGAGACTCCGTCTCAAAAAAAAAAAAAAAAAAAAAAATTTGATGTAATGGTTTCACTTTTAGAAATTTAAGGAAATAATCGTGGATGTTTGAAAATATTTATGTAAGGATAGTTTTTACAGCATTGCTGATGAAAATAAAAAATTAGAAATAATCCAGTTTTCAAGAATACCACTTTGATATGGAATATGTGCAGGAATTAAGATTTATACAAAATATAGTACTTAGCAAGTATATATTCATAATATATTCATTTAGAAAGCAAGTTAGCAAATTATTTACTACACATGACCATTTTTGGAAAAAATGTATACCATATGAAAGACTAAATATATAAAAATGTTAATAGTTACCTCTGACTAGTGAGATTATGGATGATTTTAATTTTTGACATGTTTGTATGTTCTACAATTTGTGTGTACTTTGCAATTAGAAAAAAATAATTATAGTTAGGGTAAGATTACAGTTGCCATGTTGGGAATCACTTCCTGGACAATTTCCTTCCAATCGAAAGAAAATATACAAATCTCATGTATTGGAGGGAGACTGGGGAACCAGTGTTCACTGTACTTCTCACTACTAATTTTCTCTCTATCAAAAATAGGATATGAAACCAAGGAAGTCTGTGGAAATTAAGATAGAGCCTACTGAAACTCAGTTATTTCTCCATGCAGAAAAGAGACCTAACTTTGCCTTACAAAAAGGAAATTTTTTTTATATTAACAAATACAAAAAGTAAGCTATTAGGACAAAATCTAATTAAAATATCCAACTTTATATTTCCTCTATCTGAACCTCACAGCCCCAAATACAAGAGTTAAGACGGTTGAGTTAAAATGTATTTATTGAACCTCTACCGTGTTTGCCAGGCACTGTTACCTGGACGGCATTGGTCTACACATGTTATTTTAGCGGTGTCGCTGGCCTCTAGGGGCTCTTGTTCTAGTGGGAGGGATGATTTCTGTTTAGTTTCAGGGCTCCATTAAAATTTGTGACCTTGGGGCTTCCCGGCCTGGAGCTCAGATTGCTTGGCGAAGGCTGAGAAACAGAAAAGTGGATCAGGCGATGTGGTGCACTCCCCTTAAAAACTACCGCTGTGTTCCCCGACCTGGCAGTGGTCACTTGGAGCCCATTAATCGGGAACATCCGAGAGCGACAAGGAAGGCCGCGGGCGAGCGCGTCGCTCCCGGAGTTTCCCCGGACCTGGGATCGCCGATCCCTCGGCGCGGACACCAGCCTTGCCCATGTGGTGGTCCCTGTGGAGACCTTCCCAGCCGTTCCCGGCTACCACTTTTAGAGCCCAAGACAAACTTCGACGAGTGGCAAGGCAGTGACAAATGGAACCAAAATAGAGGGGCTAAAAGGGGACCTTCCTATAGAACCGGGGTCTTTTGTTAGGGTTTTGTTTTGTTCCTCACCATCTTCCAAACAATGAAGTCCTGGGGGAGGCTAACCACGATCAAGATTTCAGTAAACATCAGACACTGGAGAGCCGACCCAGCGACCGAAGAAGCAAAAGATCTTCTTTCCTTCCTGAAATCTGGGCAGGCTGGGAGCAAAAAAAAAAAAAAAAAACCCGCACACGTTTTTCGAGATGGCGATAACAGTTATAAGGCCCGTAAGAGACTTGATCCAGTTTTATGCAGAAACATTTTCTAGTCCTGCGAACCCTTTTGCTTTTTCAATCCACAAGTGGCTTTCTGCCCTTCTGTTACCAAGCAACCCTGACGTCATCGCGTTTCTGCGTGCGTGCACGACACAGAATCATTGCTTGTTGATCTCTATTTTAGTGCAAAAATCAGGGCTGTTATGCAGTGTGTCAGGATGGCCGAGTGGTCTAAGGCGCCAGACTCAAGCTAAGCTTCCTCCGCGGTGGGGATTCTGGTCTCCAATGGAGGCGTGGGTTCGAATCCCACTTCTGACACATACTTTTCTTTTTCCTCTCCTTACTTTAGAGATATCCTGATCTCAGCAGTAGGCATAAACAATTACCAACGTATATTTTTAAGAATCGGCTTTTAGGTACCGGGCGCGGTGGCTCACGCCTGTAATCCTAGCACTTTGGGAGGCCGAGACGGGTGGATCACGAGGTCAGGAGATCGAGACCATTCTGGCTAACACGGTGAAACCTCGTCTCTACTAAAAATACAAAAAAAATAGCTGGGCGTGGTGGCGGGCGCCTGTAGTCCCAGCTACTCGGGAATGAGGCAGGAGAATGGCGTGAACCCGGGAGGCGGAGCGTGCAGTGAGCCAAGATCGCGCCACTGCACTCCAGCCTGGGGACAGAGCGACACTCCGTCTCAAAAAAAAAAAAAAAAAAATAATTGGCTTTTAAATTTATCTCAAAGGGCTTGTCCAAACTAAAAACATTAAAAGCGGAAGCATCGCGATATTTTTACGAAGCCGCGAGATTTGGGCCAAAAAACGCCTAATTAAAGGCAGAGGTTACTAGTGATTGGTCTCTGTGCTGCAGTGCGAGATAATCCTGATGTCGCGGGATTCGGAACGCAGATAGCTTCCTGCCTCGCCGAGGGAATGGAGAGAAGGGGCTCCGGGCGGGTTCTTTTCCCGCTTCTCGACCAGGCTCACACTCTGTGTCTCAGATCCAAGCCCTCCCCTAGATATTTCCTGGAGCACTTTCCTACCAATCTCACAACCCTGTGGCTCGTGACAGTGCAGTCTCTTTAAAAATCTTACACAGGTCCTCTGCTCTCCTATTTTCAAAACTCATGTAACCAGTTCTCAAAAATGTCTTTCGTAAATTATGCACATTCACACTCGTTTTGGCATCTGATCATTACCGTTTTGTCAGTCAAAATTGAGTACCATTTTAACCATTGAATGAAATATGAAAGCTGTACGTTCCTCTCGCAAATGTAATCACCGTGAAAAATTTATTGTATTTTTTACATTTCTTTTTTCTCTGCATTCGCATATATATATAACATTTTGTTTTTTTTTTTTTAACAGAAATGTAGTCATGCTATGACATTTTTCACTTAATATATCTTGGGTTCTTTCCATGTGGAACACTTATTCTTTTCTTTTACAGAAGAAATATTGCTGGCCGGGTGCAGTGGCTCAGGCCTGTAATCCCAGCACTTTGGGAGGCCGAGGCGGGCGGATCACGAGGTCAGGAGATTGAGACCATCTTGGCTAACACAGTGAAACCCCGTCTCTACTAAAAATATTAAAAAATACAAAAAATTAGCCGGGTGTGGTGGTGGGTGCTTGTAGTCCCAGCTACTCGGGAGGCTGAGGTAGAAGAATCGCCTAAACCCGGGAGGCGGAGCTTGCAGTGAGCCGACATTGCCCGCTGCACTCCAGCCTGGGCAACAGAGTGAGACTCCGTCTCAAAAAAAATAATAAATAAATAAATAAATAAATAAATAAATAAATAAATAAAAAAAACCCTATGGTAGGCCCGGAGTGGTGGCTCACGCCTGTAATCCCAGCACTTTGGGAGGCCGAGGCAGGTGGATCACTTGAGGTCAGGAGTTCGAGACCAGCCTGGCCAACATGGTGAAACCCTGTCTCTACTAAAAACACAAAAATTAGCTGAGTGTGGTGGCAGATGCCTGTAATCCCAGCTACTCAGGAGGCTGAGGCAGGAAAATCACTTGAACCCGGGAGGTGGAGGTTGCAGTGAGCCAAGATTGCACCACTGCACTCCAGCCTGGGCAACAGAGTGAGACTCTGTCACAGGAAAAAACAAAAAACAAAAAAACAAAAACACAAAAACCGTATGGTAAATTTTAAATTTTAAGGTGGTACTTTAGAACACTAGTGTTCCATCTTCTCAGTTTGCTGGCTTTCGGATTAAAAGCAGCTTTTCCTCCCACCAAACCTCCCCTCTAGCATTTGGCTTTGGAGCGGTGAGCAGCAGAATCTGGGTCAGGTTACGCTTTTTTCTCTTCAGTCCCATTAACTCTGGAATCCTAGGTGCCCTCTGCATACTTGGACTCCAAAAACCACTTTCTCCAACAAGAAAACAAAGTAAACTGCAGATTATATAATAGGAGATTTTAAATTCATTTCAAAATTCACTATGGAAGATATGGTTTCTCATCTGGAATCCATCCTGCTTGTCTGGATTTACCTTACTTCTCCCTGCATTGCTCACATTTCTGATTCTTTCATGGAACAGAGTACGTTATCCTCTAAAAGCTTTCACCAAACTGATGGAATTTTCTATTTCTCGCCCCCTACCCCCACCTACTGCTTTTCAAAGTAAAATGGCATTTATCTGTAAGGCGGGATGAAGTTAATATCTGTTAAACCCCCATTTATTTCCAGAAGCTTCCAAAGTCAGCCCAACCTCCCAAGGTTACTTAGCTCTCTAATAAAACAAAAGGTGAACTCCCTGAAAGAATTCTCCTGCAGAATTCTATTATAGCGTTAGAGGAAAAAGCACTGCCACTGTGTAAAATTGTGTAGATTTGGGGTAAAAGGCCAAGGTACTTTCCAGTTTCAATTTTCTTGACTGTCCTGCTGGGCACGGTGGTTTACACCTATAATCCCAGCACTTGGGTGAGGCTGAGGAGGGAGGATCACATGAGGCGAGGAGTTCAAGACCAGCCTGGGCTTGTCTCCAACCCCTCACCCCAACCCCGCCCCCACCCCCACAAATGCTCAACTGCAGTTGAACTGAATTAAATTGCGTTTCTTTCCTTCCTTCCTTCCTTCTTTCCTTCCTTTCTTCCTTCTTTCTCTCTCTCTTTCCCTCCCTTCCTTCTCTCCTTTCTTCCTTCTGTCTCTCTTTCTCTCTCTCTCTCTCTCTTTCTTTCTTGAGACAGAGTCTTGCTGTATCACCCAGGCTAAAGTTCAATGGCGCTGTCTTGGCTCACTGCAACCACTGCCTCGCAGGTTCAAAGGATTCTCCTGCCTCAGACTCCCGAGTAGCTGGGACTACAAGCGTGCACCACCACACCTGGCTAATTTTTATATTTTTTAGTAGAGACAGGGTTTCACCATGTTGACGAGGCTGGTCTCGAACTCCTGACCTTGAGTGATTCGCCCACCTCAGCCTCCCAAAGTGGTGATCCTGGGTTTTAAGCAGAATAGGGGACATACCACTACCCACTTATCGAATGTATTCTAAATAAGTTTTCTTATCCTAAATTTTTTTATATTCCAATACTGGAAACTTTTATTTACAGAAGCCATGTATTCTATACTCTATATGTAGAATACATGGTTCATTAAGGCCAAGATAATTTCCCATTTTGTGTATATCATTACTTATACTACTCATTAAAATAATCTTCAGTGCGGAGAGATTATCTCTTTTCCTCTGCTAAAGACACAATAATCTTTCATTCAGACAAATAAGACATTACATAAGACCTACCTAGTTACATAAAAACAAAGTAACTACACTAGTACTCCTGTCTGTTAAAGGACTATCAGATAAGTCACTGCGGTTATCTGTACATAACAATGCACAATCATCCTAATAATTACTAGTGAATGCCTTTTCTAGATAGAAGAAGCTGAAGATATAAAATCTAAATCTAAATTCGAATGTTAACTTTTGTCTCAACTGACAGAATACCGTACATTGACCAAATAAAGGATTTTATTGAATCACTAAATTTTTACCAGCTTTATTGAGATATAATTTACACACCATTCAATTCAATTCAATCACTTTTAGAATATTCAGAGTTGTGCAAACATTATCACCATCAGTGTTAGAACATTTTTATCACCTCAAGGTAAAAAAAAATACTCCTTAGCAGTCACTCCCCATCTCTCAGCCTCCCCCAACCTGCAGGCAACCGACAATCTATTTT
Source organism: Homo sapiens (assembly GCF_000001405.40). Taxonomy (NCBI): domain Eukaryota; kingdom Metazoa; phylum Chordata; class Mammalia; order Primates; family Hominidae; genus Homo; species Homo sapiens. The sequence goes on along the minus strand of NT_167247.2, from coordinate 158,107 downwards.
CTATAATTTTTTTTCTTTTCCTTCCTTCCTTCCTTCCTTCCTTCCTTCCTTCCTTTTTATACAGGGTCTCACTCTGTCACTCAGGCTGGAGTGCAGTAGCACAATCATAGCTCACTGCAGCCTTGACCACCCTGGACTCAGGCGATTCCAATATTGGAATATAAAATATTTTAGGATAAGAAAACTTATTTAGAATATGTTCAATAAGTGGGTAGTGGTATGTCCTCTATTCTGGTTAAAACCCAGGATCACCACTTTGGGAGGCTGAGGTGGGCGAATCACTTGAGCTCAGGAGTTCGAGACCAGCCTGGCCAACATGGTGAAACCCTGTCCCTACCAGAAAATACAAAAATTAGCTGGGTGTAGCGGTGCGTGCCTGTAGTCCCAGCTACTCGAGGGGGCGAAGGTGGGAGAATCACTTAAACCCGGGAGGTGTAAGTTGCTGTGAGCCGAGATCACACCAGTGCACTCCAGCCTAGGCAACAGAGACCTTTTGTCTAAATCAATCAATCAATCAATCAATCAATCCCAGGAGTGCAGTGGCGCGATCTCGGCTTTCTGCAACCTCTGCCTCCCCGGTTCAAACGATTCTCCTGCCTGTCTTCCGAGTAGCTGGGAGGCCCGTGCCACCACGCCCGGCTAATTTTTGTATTTTTAGTAGAGACGGGTTTTCACAATGTTGGCCAGGCCTGTCTTGAGCTCCTGACCGCAAGAGATTTGTCTGCCTTGGCCTCCAAAGGGCTGGGATTACAGGCGTGAGCCACCGTGCCCGGCCAGTCTTGTCCATTTTCTCCTTGAAGACCATCTTTCACACTGTCACTATAGTGACTTGCATAAAACTGAAAGCTAATATTACACACACCTTCTTTTTTTTTTTTTGAGACGGATTCTCGCTCTGTCACCAGGCTGGAGTGCAGTGAGGCGATCTCGGCTCACTGCAAGCTCCGCCTCCTGGGTTCACGCCATTCTCCTGCCTCAGCCTCCTGAGTAGCTGGGACTACAGGCGCCTGCCACCACGCCGGGCTAATTTTTTGTATTTTTAGTAGAGACAGGGTTTCACTGTGTTAGCCAGGATGGTCTAGATCTCCTGACCTCGTGATCCACCAGCGTCAGCCTCCCAAAGTGGTGGGATTACAGGCGTGAGCCACCGTGCCTGGCCTACACACATTCTTAGCATCTGTTAATGGTTCAATTCATTATCCTGGCAACAAGACTGTTCATGATGTAGCTTACATTTTCAGCTTTATCTCCTTTCGCCTTCATATTCAATCTGTGTTCTAGCTAGACCAAACTGTTCTCAACTGTCTGAAAGTACCATTTTAAAAGTGCCTTAATAACTTTGTATGTATATACTTTCCATCTAGAAAGCTTTTACTGCCTTCCCTTTTTCTGACTATTTGTATTTATGTTTTAAGATACGCCAATCAACCATTCCGCTGCAAAACTTTCTGTTTGATTCTCTCAGGCAGTTAGATGTTTCCTTCTTTGCACTCCCAAAGCTCTTATGCTTCACTCTTATAGTATTTACCACACTGCCTTGTAACTGAAGGACATCTCTAGGTTGTGGCCTTCAAGAGGGCATCTTATTCGTCTTTATACCAGGTATATAGCAAGGAACTACTATACACAAGACTTGCTACAAAGCTACTTACATGACATTTTAATAACCAAGAAAGAATTTGTAGAAATAGCAAGTAACATTTCTTAATCCTTTTCAATTTAAGATAAGCAACATGTTGGGATACTGAGATGTGACAACAATGGTAACAATAGCAACTCACACTTAATAATGCTTACAGTGTGTCAGACACAGTTTTGTGTGCTTTCATAACCCTTTGAGGTTGCAACTGTTGTCCATGTTTTGTAGGCAAAGATACAGATGCACAAAGTTATGTGACTTGCCTAAGGTCATATAGCCAACAAGATAGGAAACACTGAAACTAGAGTTTAGTGTGAATTTGTGTGTGTTCAAATCCTTCATTTACAGCTAAATTTGCAAATCTGTTGAAGGAAAGGGAAATAGAACTTACTGCTCTTATTTAGCAGTGAAATTTAAATAATTTTTTGTTGTTTTATTTCAGAAGGTGAGTGTAGGTTTATTTATTATTTTTGAGACAGAGTCTTGCTCTGTTGCACAGGCTGGAGTGCAATAGCACAATCACTGCAGCCTTGACCTCTTGGTTCAAGCAATCCTCCCATCTCAGCCTCCTGAGTAGCTGGGACTACAGGTACACACCACCATGAGCAGCTTTTTTTTTTTTTTTTTTTTTTTTAGAGATGGGGTCTCATGATGTTGCCTAGCTTGGTCTCAAACTCCTGGGTTCAAGTGATCCTCCTACCTCAGCCTCCCAAAATGCTGGGATTACAGGTATGAGCCACCATGCCTGGACTGAGTATAGGTTTAGAAAGCTAAGCATGACTTCAGGGTTCCAAAAAGTACTGAAGAAGTAGCATCTCACTCACTGTTCCTGGGAAGATGGAAAAGTGATGATCCCTTAAATCCTGCAATTGAAAACATTTGTGACCCTGAGGGCAGGTATGAGAGGCACTAAGAAAATCCTTTGTTGGTGAGACAGAGAACATTTTCACCCCAGGAAAAAGAGATCATAGAGAAGTCATGAAAACTGTACTGAACAAAATACTTATGGGAAAGAGGGGTTGTAAAAGTGATGAATGTAGACAGTTCTTCACTAAGAAATCAAATCTTATTCAACAGCAAAGGATCCACACTGAAGAGAGACCCTGTAAATACAAAGTTTGTGGCAAGCCTTCAGTGGGAACACTAGCCTCTATCTCCAGAAGATCCACACTGGGGAGAACCCTTATAAGTGTGATGAGCATAGAAGGGCCTTCACCGTGAAAGCCTGCATTATAGAAGCTGTATTTTCACAGACACTATGAATGTGATCAGTGTGGCAAGACTTTCATTTGGAGCTCAGATCTTAGTAAACATCAGAGGCTTCATACTGGAGGGAAATCCACAAGCGTAATGTATGCAATAAGACCTTCAGAATTCTGACCATCTCAAACATCAGAGAATACATACTGGAGAGAAACCCTACAAATATCTTATGCATGGGAAAGCTTTTAATCAGAGCCCACTCTTTCTTAAGCATCATAGAGTACACACTGAGAGAAACCTTATCACTTTAAGGAATGTGGAGAAAGCTTTAGTCACAATGGAGGCCTGACATCGTATGAGAGACTGCACACAAGAGAGAAGTCTTATAAAAGTAAAGTATTTGGGGAAGTCTGCATTGAGAGCTCACACTTCATTAACTATCCCAACATTCATACAGGGGAAAGACTTCCTCATTGCCCTGAATATGGAAAATGCTTTACTCAAAATGAAGGTCTTATTTCCCATCAGAACCTTTTTAGACATTAAAAAGAAAACCCATATCAGAGAAAAAAGATATATACCTCTGATGAATGTGTGTAAAACTTTGTGTTTCTCTAGTAATTGACCTTTAGAGAGTAGATATAGAAGGGAAATATTTTGAATATAACAATTTTGAAATGTTTGAATGGCAGCTTCTTGCCTCACTTAACATTAGTAAATTTGTCAAGAGCATGCCCAGGAAATGGGTTGGCTAGAACTTGTTTTAGCAGAAATAAATGTGTTTTCAGTCATTATCCTCCTTAAGGAAAGGGTCAGTCTCACCCAGTGACCACTTCTAAGTTCCCGACTCTTAGATGGGAAATGAAGAGTATTTTGTGTGAGCCTGTAGATGTTTGAAAACTTTGATATTCAGAGGGTAGGCGAAATGGTCACTCACTCCTGAGACTTCCTTTGTGAAAACAGAGCTTTGTAATATTTGTGATTCCCTGCTCTCTCTTTCAGGAAAAGATGCTCACTATATCCAATAAAGCTTATAAAATACTGGGTATCAGTTGAAAGGTATTAAGACATCAATTGTCGGCTGGGTGCAGTGGTTCACACCTGTAATCACAGCATTTTGAGAGGCTGAGGCAGGAGGATCACTTGAGTCGAAGAGTTCGAGACCAGCCTGGGCAACATAGTGAGACCCTTGTCTCTACAAAAAATAAATTAGCTAGGCGTGGTGGTGCAGGCCTGTAATCCTGGCTACTTGGGAGGCTGAGGTGGGAGAATCACTTGAGCCCAGGAGGAATAGGTTGCAGTGAGCTGTGTTCATGCCACTGCACTCCAGCCTGGGCAACAGAGTGAGACCCCTCCTCAAAAAACTAAAACTAAAACTAAAATAAAAATTAAAAAAGAAATAAATTGTTTTCTTGTCTCTGTTCAAAACCTGGACCACTATGTGTAGTCCTATTCCCAGACTGTCACACAGATCTAGTGATGTTGGTACAAATTGAGAGAAAGGGAACCAGATGGTTCTTCCTCATCTTTGTATGCATGTAGCTGGCATAGTGATTGGCATTTGCATTCCATAAATGTTTATTGAAATGAGTTAAATTAAAATAAATAGAATTAAATCCTGGACTTATATAGTGTACTTGCTGAAATTCAGTTTTAAGAAGTGGCATAAAGTGAAAACAAAAGTATTTTAAACTTATGTAGAAATATTGACGAGATGGCTAAAATGGAAATCTCTGATCTTTTGAAGATGTATATGTAATTCATGAGTTGATATGTAGGAGGGCATTGCTTCCTCCCACAGCTTCAGAATCATACAGTAATAGACTGGGGGGATCATAGGCCTGACCAAGTGGGACTATTGTTAAGTTATGCTCTTAAATAAAGAAAAAAAAAGTAACATCAGTTCTTTAAGTACTTTGTTCTAACAATGTAATTATTGTGTTCTGTCTAAAACTATGATACAGTGTTAAACTTCTCAAGGTTTCCTTTGTCTACGAGCTACAGTCCAGTGTTGTTCCCCGTCTTTTTGTGACATGGCCTGTCTTCACTTACTGTGGAAACAAACTAACATATGCTTCTTTTTTATTTATTTATTTATTTTGCGACGGAGTTTCGCTCTGTCACCCAGGCTGGAGTGCAGTGGTGCGATCTCGGCTCACTGCAAGCTCCGCCCCTCCAGGTTTAAGCAATTCTCCGCCTCCGGAGTAGCTGGGATTACAGGCGCGTGCCACCATGCCAGGCTAATTTTTTGTATTTTTAGTAGAGACGGGGTTTCACCATCTTGGCCAGGCTGGTCTTGAACTCCTGACCTCGTGATCCACCTGCCTCAGCCTCTAAGTGCTGGGATTACAGGCGTGAGCCACCGCGCCTGGCCTGCTTCTTTTAAAAGGAAACTCTGAGATAAAAAATACGAAGTTCTCTTCAAAAAAGCAATCAGCTTTTCATTAAAGGGAAACTATGGAGTACAACACTTGAGTTTTTTTTTTTTTTTTTTTTTGAGATGGAGTCTCGCTGTTGCCCAGGCTGGAGTGCAATGGCGAGATTTCAGCTCATTGCAACCTTCCCCTCCCTGCCTCAGTCTCCCAAGCAGCTGGGACTGGGACTACAGGCGCCCACCACTACACCCAGTTAATTTTTTTATTTTTAGTAGAGATGGGGTTTCACCGTGTTAGCCAGGATAGTCATGATCTCCTGGCCCCGTGATCCACCCGCCTCGGCCTCCTAAAGTGCTGGGATTACAGGTGTTAGCTACCGTGCCTGGCCCCACTTGAGCCTTAAAATACTTTATTTGGGCACTGAATAAAATTTATCTGTGCTAATTCTTTACCTGTACTAACACGCAGTAGTCTTTAGCCAGGGCATTGCTACCTACTACGATGTATTTGGGTACACTTATGGTTCTCACAATGACCAGGTTATGGCATGTTCATTTTTATGGGTGGGGTTCAGGCATTATAAACATTATAGTATACATATATGTTGTAGTATGTAGCATAAATACAACAGGTACAACCATTAGAAATCTCCACGCATCCAGGAACCGTGGCTCAACACCTGTGATCCTAATGTGCCAAGGAATTGGTGGGTTCTTGATCTCACTGACTTCAAGAATGAAGCCATGGACCCTGGCCGTGAGTGTGGCAGTTCTGAAGAGCAGTGTGTGGGGAATTTGTTCATTCTGATGTTTGCATATGTTCAGAGTTTCATTCCATTCAGGTGGGTTTGTGGTTTCGCTGACTCGGGAAAGCTACCAATCTTGGCAGTAACTGTTACAGCTCTTAAGACGGTGTGTCTGGAGTCATTGGTTCCTCTCAGTGAGTTTATGGTCTCCTTGGCTTCAGGAATGAAACTGCAGACTTTCACAGCAATTATCACAGCCCACAAAGGCAATGCGCATGCAAAAACCGAGCAGCAGCAGGAATCATTGCAAACAGCAAAAAAAACAAACCTTCCACAACGTGGAGAAAGCATTAACCAAACAGCCACCACCGTTCAGGCAGCCTGCTTTTATACTCTTATCTGGCCCCACCCACATCCTGCTGATTGGTCCATTTTACAGAGAGCTGATTGGTCCGTTTTGGCAGGGTACTGATTGGTGCGTTTACAATCCCTGAGCGAGACGCAGAAGTTCTCCAAGTCCCCACTAGATTAGCTAGATACAGAGTGTGATTGGTGTATTTACAAACCCTGAGCTAGACGCAAAGTGTATTTACAAACCTTGAGCTAAATACAGGGTACTGACTGGTGTATTTACAATCCCTTAGCTAGACATAAACATTCTCCAAGTCCCCACCAGGTTAACTAGTTACAGAGTGCTGACTGGTGCATTCATAAACCCTGAACTAGACACAAGGTGCTGATTGGTGTGTTTACAAACCTTGAGCTAGATACAGAGTGCTGATTAGGTGCATTCACAAACCCTTAGCTACAAGACATAAAGATTCTCCAAGTCCCCACCAGGTTAGCTAGATACAGAGTGCCGATTGGTGTATTCACACTCCTTACCTAAAGATTCTCCAAGTCCCCACCAGGTTAGCTAGATAGAGTGCTGATTGGTGCATCCACAAACCATGAGCTAGTGCGGATTGGTGTCTTGAGCGCGGGTAGTGAGGAGCTTATCATCTGAGCCAGCAGCTGCGGAGGGGGCGCCAGGTCCCCCAGCACTGCCCGTCCGCCCGCGCTGCGGTCGAATTCTCGCCGGGCCTCAGCCGCCTCCTCATGGGGCAGGGCACGGGACCTGCAGTTCGCCATGCCCCAGCCCGCCCCCGACCCTCCCACCCGTGGGCTCCCTTGCGGTCCAAGTCTCCCTGATGGGCGCCGCCCCCTGCTCCGCGGCGCCCGGTCCCATCGACCGCCCAAGGGCTGAGGAGTGCAGGTGCGTGGCACGGGACTGGCGGGCAGCTCCGCCCGTGGCCCCAGTGCGGGATCCACTAGGCAAAGCCAGCTGGGCTCTTGAGGCGGGTGCGGACTTGGACAACTTTTATGGCTAGCTAGAGGATTGTATATGTGCCAGTCAGCACTCTGTGTCTAGCTCTGGGTTTGTGGATACACCAATCAGCACTCTGAATCTAGCAACTCTAGTGGGGACCTGGAGAACCTTTATGTCTAGCTAAAGGATTGTAAATGCACCAATCAGCACTCTGTGTCTAGCTCAGGGACTGTAAACACACCAATCAGCACCCTGTCAAAACAGACTAATCAGTTCTTTGTAAAACAGACCAATCAGCTCTCTGTAAAATGGACCAATCAGCAGAATGTGGGTGGGGCCAGATAAGGCAATAAAAGCAGGCTGCGCGGAGCAGCCACGATAACCTACTCGGAGTCGATCTCTCTGTTGTGGAAACCTTGTTCTTTATGTTCTTTGTAATAAATTTTGCTGCTGCTTGCTTTTTGAGGTTTGTATTTCCTGTGTGAGCTGTAACACTTACCGTGAAGATTTGCGGTTTCACTCCTGAGACCGGCAAGAACCATGAGCGCATCAGGAGAAATGAACAACTTCAGACATATCATCTTAAGAGTTGCAACACTTATGCTGAAGGTCTGCATGTTTCGCTCCTTGTAAGCCAGCCAGACCAGGAACCCACCAGCGGGAAGAAACTCAGAACATGGGTGAACATCAGAAAGAACAAACTCCAGCCACACTGTCTTTAAAAAATAACATCACGAGGGTCTGCAGCTTCATGTTTGAAGTCAGTGAAACCAAGAACCCACCAATTCTGGACACCAGGCTGAGGCAGAAAAATTATTTGAACCTGGAGGTAGAGGCTGCAGTGAGCTTAGATCATGCCACTGCATTCCAGCCTGGGTGACAGCTCCATCTGAAAGACAACAAATAGATGATAAATGGAATTTAATCAAAAGAAACTTTTGTGCATCAAAGGACGTTAGGCAGTGTTAAAAGAGCACATAGAATTGGTGAAAATGTCTTGGAAATTACATGTTTGATAAGGGTCTAACATCCAGATATATCCAAAAAAACAAAAACCAAACCTTAGAACTGAAAATCAACAAGGCAACTCAGTTTAAATGCACAAAGAACTCAAATAGACACCTCTCCAAACAAAATATGTAAATAGGCAATAAGCACTTGGAAAGTACTCTGTGTTTATTCACTAGGGGAAATGCAAATCAAAACCAAAGTAGGGTACCATTTCCAACTTTCTTGGATGGCTATAATCAGGAAAATGGCCAATGAAAAAGTGTTGGTGAAGATGTGGATAAACTGGAACTTTCATGCATTGTTGGTGAGAATGTAAAATGATAAAGCCACTGTGGAAACCGGTTTGGTGGTTCCCTTAAAAAGCTAAACATGGGTGTAGCATATGACTTAGCAATTCTAGGTGTATACCCAAAAGAATTGAAAGCAGAGACTCAAACAGATCCTTGTAATCCAATGTTCTTTGCAGCATCATTCATAATAGCTAGAAGGAGAATCCAGCCATCAACAGATGAGCAGATAAGCAAAATAACAAAAATAAAACTGCGTAAGCAGAATAGGCATCAAAATATAAGAAATTTTAAAAAATGAATATACATACAATATGGGATATATGCTGGTATATGCTGTGAGATGGATGAAACTTGAAAACATTTTGCTTAGTGATGAAATAGGCTAGGTATGAAAGGACACAAGTACTGTATAACTCCACTTATATGAAATATCTAGAATAGGCGATTTCAAAAAGACAAAAGGTGAGGGGCTGAGGCTCATGCCTGTAATCCAAGGACTTTGGGAAGTCAAGGCAGGAGGATTGCTTGAGACCAGGAGTTCAAAACCAGCTTGAGTAACATGGTGAGTCCATGCTGCCCCCCACATCTCTACAAAAAATTAAAAATTAGCCAGGTGTTGTGACACATGACTGTAGTTTAAGTTACACGGGAGGCTGAGGCAGGAGGATTCTTTGAGCCCAGGAGTTCAAGACTGCAGTGAGAATGAGACCCTGTCTCTTTAAAATGCCAAAACAAGGGCTGGGTGCGGTGGCTCACGCCTGTAATCCCAGCACTTTGGGAGGCCGAGGCGGGTGGATCACGAGGTCAGGAGATGGAGACCATCCTGGCTAACACAGTGAAACCCCGTCTCTACTAAAAGTAGAAAAAATTAGCTGGGCGTGGTGGCATGCGCCTGTACTCGCAGCTACTCGGGAGACTGAGGCAGGAGAATCGCTTGAACCCGGGAGGCAGAGGTTGCAATGAGCCGAGATAGCCCAGATCGCGCCACTGCACTCCAGCCTGGCGACAAAGCAAAACTCTGTCTCAAAAAAAAAAAAAAAGTTAAAGTGACATTTTATGTTATATATATTTTACCACACTGCATCGTGCCATTAAACAATAAAAATTTGTTCTAAACATTGAGACTTGTGCTCCAGAAATAACTTAATATTTTGGTTAAGTTTCCAGCTTTACCCTTTACTAGTTGTGTTGGGCAATGTGTTATACCCTTTTAGGTGTCAGTTTCTACATCTGTAAAAGAAGACTATTAATATATTTCTCATAGTTGGAATAGTGCAGCTACAGTGTATGCATTCGGTAAATGTTAACTGGCGTTGGTGTTAAATCTGGGAATTGCGTTGTTTCTTTTTAAAGAATTCTTATTCAGTTACCACATATTCTCACAGAAACAAATGTTCTTGAGAATCAATTTTAGCTTTCTTTTCCTCAAGAAGCGACTGGAGCTCAATTAAAAATGATGAAAACTTGCTTGATCCTGCTCTCACTGTGCTTTCTTTGCAGTAATGTTCAGATCAATTTATGGCATTGGCCCACTTGCAAAAATTCAACCTATCATGACTACTCTAATACAGGTTGCACTAGAGGACAGCTCAGTTTGGATTAAAGCTTTTGGTGGTTTCTGCCTTTAGGCTTAAGTGATGACGATTTGCCAGGTGATGACAGTTACCTTTTTTGGTAGTTAGTGAAAATCTGGAGAACACTAATTTTAAACCATGTTCAGAGTCTCAGCCATAGAGAATCTCTGTGAGAGATCTTGTTCCCAGAAATTTAATTCCCTTTATCCCTTTTTGTTGATTTTTCTCTGTAGTGATTTCCACTCCTTCCCCCGCCCCCACCCACCCCCAGCTCCATACACATACACACAAGAGTTCAGCAACCTGAACTTTGAAAATACTTAGTGATTTCAGATTCTCAGTGAATTAACAAATGCTATTCCTTCTGCCTGAAAAATACTCATTTTTCAGCTAAATAGCATTTCTTCAGGACCTCCAGGAGGGTGGATGCTTCCTAAAGAAGTCCCCATCCCTTATTTTTTTATTTTATCCTCGTACTTCTTTTTTTCACAGGAGTGGAAACAATTTTTTTTTTCTTCCCAGCGTTTGCTTGATTTCAACTGTTAGATCCAGTAGAAAGTAAGCTCTTTGAGGCCAAGTGCTATTTCTGCTTTGTTCTTTTATAAAGCAGTTGTCACAGGGCAGGCACACCGTATATACTCGTTAAATAAGACTTCTACCTTTAGTTGTTAATTGGCAGCCAGACCGGAGCAAGAAAAGGGAAAATGCTCTGAATCAACAAATATCTTTCGAACCAGAGAACGCAAAACGACGACCACGAAGGGACTCGAACCCTCAATCTTCTGATCCGGAATCAGACGCCTTATCCATTAGGCCACGCGGCCAACCGCCGAAGACAGATGCTTATATAGCACACAAAGGGAATGTAACATGGTGGGGAAGGGGGCTTTTTAAGTGCTGACTTCAAAGATCCAGCTTAATAAAAAGTTCCTCGTTTGAAATTAAAATTCACTAACAGTTAAAAACTATTTACAACACCTTCCAAAACTTGCAAATACTAATACACAGTTGTCAGAAACTGTGAGAGGACGAGCAGTTAGATGGGTCATCAGCGGTGAACCCTGTTGAAATCTCTGATTAATGGCTTCGAGAAGTGGGATAGGGAGATTTTCAGTTCTGAACTGATGCTGCACCCCTTAGGGAAAACAATCAAGAGGAGGGTGAGAGAGCGCACAGAACGTACTTTCGGCAAGTGGGGTGTGTGAAAGGAATGATGGCGACGCTGGAAGCGGGGCAGTGATGGCCAGGAAACTTCAAAGATGGTTCTGTTGGAAGTGCAGGGTTGGCGTAAGGCCGGAACAAAGTAGGTTATTCAGTTCACATATACTGTTTATTTACATGGAGCTTAGTGACTTCCATTCCTGACTTGAAGACTTCCCAAGTTTGATTTGGTCTTGACAAAAACGCGTCACCAGCTCGCTGTGGATTAATGCACAGAACAATAGGGTGTTTGGGGGGAACCCCACAGTCACCAAAAGTGTGGATGGGATAGGAAAGATGTGAAACGTCCAACCCTTAAGTAGAACTATAACACCGGTCTGTCCATTACACAGTATGATTTTGGTTCCTTGAAAATGACATGTTATTCTAACACAATGAAATCCGAGCAAAATCTCTCCCTTCCTGAACACTACACTCGTCAACAAAGAATCCCATCAACTTCTATTTTTCCTAGTGTTTTCTTCTATAGTATTTTCTTTGGGGTTAAGACCAAGCTCAAATTATTGCCGAATATTCAGTCAAAATTTTTAGAGTGTCTTACTTTAGGCTTTGCTCAGGAACCCAGGGACATCGATGAGGAAGGGACATTGATGAGGAAGAGACCACAGAGTGGCATAGGATATGAACTAGCATGAGTACAAGATTTGGAATAATATCGTACTTCTTGTCATTCCAATACAGGTTTACATAAACTGTTGCAGAACACAAAAACAACAAAATGTCCCACTGCATTTTAGAAAGGTAGCTTAACATCTACTGCAAAAACTGCAAAGATTGCCTAAAGATACAGCAATTATTATTATTATTTTGTTGTTGTTGTTGTTTTGTTTTTGAGACAGAGTCTTGCTCTGTCACCCAAGCTGGAGTGCACAGTGGCACGATCTGGGCTCACTGCAACCTCCGCCTCCAGGAAGCAATTCTCTTGCCTCAACCTCACGAATGGCTGAGACTACAGGCATGCGCCACCACACCCGGCTAATTTTTGCATTTTTAGTAAAGACGGGATTTCACCATGTTGGGCCATGGCTGGTCTGGAACTCCTGACTGCAAGTGATCCGCCCTCCTCGGCTTCCCAAAGTGCTGGGATTACCGCGTGAGCCACTGCGCCCAGCCTATTATTTTTGAGACAGGGTCTCACTCTGTCACCCAGGCTGGAGTGCAGTGACGCTATAACGGCTCACTGCAGCCTCGACCTCCTGGGCTAAAGGGATCCTCCCACCTCAGCCTCCTGAGTAGCTGGGACTACAGGCGCGCGCCACCACGCCCAGCTAATTTTTTTGTATTTGTATAGCTGGGGTCTCGCCATGCTGCCCAAGCTGCTCTGGAACTCCTGGACTCAAGAGACCCACCCGTCTCTTCCAAAGTGCTGGGATTACAAGAGCCAGCCACTGCGCCCTATCTATGCAGCAACCATTAACAAAACATAATATCGCCATGATGAACAAGTACAAGGACAAATGTAAAAACTGAAGAGGATTCTCTGTTCTAAAATAATTTTTGATAACATGGGAAGATGTTCTGAATACAATGTTGAGAATAAAGCAAATAATAAAAACATATGCAGTATGATCCCAATTGGATAAGTCTGTATTTATATGTCAGAGTCTCCACTCAGATTCAGTCTTGAAGTTCTTAATCCCTTTAAATAACTGGAAACTGGAACCTGTACAAGACACATTATAAGTGTTTGATGCAATACACATACATATTGTGTATAATATGTGCAACTCTCTCTCCCCATTTTCAAAGTTTGGTGAACATTTTCAATTAAAGCCAAATATTTGAAGTTATATGCAACTATTGAAACTGGATATATTGAAAGTATTGAAACTGAAAAAAAGTTAAGCTACTGGAAGATATTTTCTCATCTTCATCATCAGCATTGGGACACTTACTGTTGAAAGAATATATGTGGCTCACCTTTTTAATGAATTGGAATCAGGTCACCTGGGGCTTAGGACATCTTCTAGAACTGCCCAAGGACAGATGTGGATGATACCATGATTCATGGTCCTAATCCTTCCTCCAGAGAGGCCACAAGAGAGCTAAAAGGTTTAGATCCTGGATAGTGACAATATTAGGGTTTGAGATCTTTGTGAGCTAAAATACAATTGTCAGCTTTCTCACAGGGTTCTAATTCTAAAATAAAAATAAGTACTGAGAGTTCATGGAGATGTTTTTTCCTCTCCTTTTAAATCTCACCTTGCTAACCTGAAAATGTTAAGCCTCCTAACCTGCTTCCCACTCTATTTCTGATCTCCTTTACCTGGTTATCATTCAGAACTATTCTCTACAGTTTCTTCTGCTCAGAGAAGGGCAATTTCTGACTGGCTCCATTTTCCTTCTTTTATTTCTGCCCCCTTTTTTGTCTCAACTTTGGCTCCATCCCCACTTTCTCTTCCACTTGTACTTTGCATCCTGTGTCTTCTGCAAAATATACCCAGAAATATGTGCTTAGCTTCCTCTCTTCCATTTTGTTCCCTTTTATTCTCCTTTTCTCATTTTCACTGTCCCTAGATAATAATAGGTCTGTCTTTAATGGGAGAAAAGGGGAAAATAATGAAATTTCAGAAGATTTGTGTATGTGTGTGTATGTGTGTGAGTAAATGTTAGGGCTTTGCATTTTTATATTCACATTTTCCTCTCACGTGGGTTACATCAATTTATAATAATCTACATAAGTTGAAACAGAACATGGACAAAAAAATATATCCTTACCAACTTATTTTTTTGTTTGTTTTTTTGAGACGGAGTCTCGCTCTGTCACCAAGGCTGGAGTGCAATGGCCGATCCACAGATCATGTTTATCAGACATTTCCATGAAGTTGCCTTTAAGTATTTTAAATTCTTGTCCAAAACCAAACAGCTTCATCCCCTTCTGGATACCATCCTACTTCCCACAAATAAAAACAAACAAACAAGCATAATTCCTGCTTCTCCTTCTCTACTTAATAGTTTGGTGAAAGGCAACATCCATCTCTTACACTACCTGTGTGTGTGTGTGTGTGTGTTTCCTGAGGACACTCTCCATCTTTGTTTCTTTTAAAATCCATAAAGTCTCTCAATCCTGCAGCATCCACCTTCTTTCTCCAGTTCAAATAGGTTCCTTCTTTGTTTTTTGTCACTCAAGTCTCTGCTAGTTTAGACCTTAAGCATTATTCCTATGACCGATTGCAGGAGACACACATTATGCCCTCCTTAGAGTAGGACAGAGAATAAGGTCAATGATTAACAAAATGTTGAATCATTCGCTCTCCAATTGTATAACAACTTTAGCTTTTTCACGGTTCTGCGCTTGAGACTTTTTTTTTTTTTTTTTTTTTTTTTTAAAGACGGAGTTTCGCTCTTTGGAGTCTAGCTCTTATCGCTGAGGCTGGAGTGCAATGGTGCAATCTCGGCTCACAGCAACCTCCATCTCCCAGGTTCAAGCGATTCTCCTGCCTCAGCCTCCCTAGCAGCTGGGATTACAGGCGCCTGCCACACCACACGAGGCTAATTTTTGTATTTTTAGTAGAGACAGGGTTTCACCATGTTGGCCAGGCTGGTCTCCAACTCCTGACCTCAGGAGATCCACCTGCCTTGGTCTCCCAAAATGCTGGGATTACAGGTGTGAGCCACTGTGCCCAGCCAAGACTTCTTTTTATCCAATAGCAGTGTGCCAGTAGCAGAAGAGTCAGCTGCATATGCTATAAAGAGCGTGCCCAGGAAAAAGCTGGATTTTGATAGCTTTCTACCTGGAGGAGAAAGACGTAATTTGGGTGCACAGGGATCAGAACTTGAACTTCAGATCCTGGGAGTAAAATGCTACTTAGATTCATAAACTCAGAAACTTTGTTGCTGTTGTTGTCTTGAGAATCTTGTAAAGTGTACACATTTGTCTGTGGTCTGTCTTGTCTTTTTTTGTTGTTGTTTTGGATTCTCAACTAGATATGCTAAAAATAAGCAGGCAAAAAAAGCAAGAAAGCAAACATGCTAAATTGGTGTTTCCTTCTGCAACTGGAGCTGCCCAACCCTATGCAGCCTTGCCTCTTGTGTGAGCATTTAACACTGCTCTCTGACAACCAGATGGGTTGGCTTCCTTATGACAGTTTCAAAGAGCAGCTGTATGTGACTAACGAACTTCAAACATACAGTTTAAGAGATGCACCTGAGAAAATGCTGAGCCCATTCAGAGACTCAGTGAGTCACAAAAGTCTCAGACAAGACAAGCTGGGTCTCTTGTAAGAGGTTCTGGAATTTGGTCCATGGATCACCATCAGTATAATCTGGAAACCTGTTAGAACTGCAAATTCTTGGGCCCTACCCCAGGTCCACTAAATCAGAAATTCCCAAAGGATGTTCCAATATGTTTCAACAAGTCATCCAGATGATTCTGATGGACCTATGCTTTGTGAACAACTGAACTCGAAGGATTGACACCTTCTGTTGCCTCACTTTAGAGTAAGGGGCATTCATTCTTCTCTAGTACCTGGAGGAAGCACAGATGCATTGGGGACCTGGGACACATCCAGATCTGAGCATCCAAATCCTGAGCATCCTTGAGGCTCCACTACCCAGCACGCTGCCTCTCACCTCATGGGTTTCCTCTTTTCCCTTCCGTAGTGTGATGAATCCCCCACCAGATTAGGTAAGGATGTATGTCCACTGCCTGAATCCTGAAAGCCAGGTGGTGAGCCAAGGCCATGGTGCCCAGCCAAAGAGTAGGTGTCCCTAAGAACCCAAACATCCGGGAGAGTATCTAGGAACCTACTAAGAAAAACAGTCTCATCACTCAAACACAGTAGACAAATAGCCAGAAAATAAGCTTAAAAGCAGTTTAGAGGCTGGGTGCGGTGGCACATGCCTGTAATCCCACACTCTGGGAGGCCGAGGTGGGTGGATTGCTTGAGCCCAGGAGTTCGAGACCAGCCTGGCCAACATAGTGAAACCCAGTCTCTTCTAAAAATACAAATATTAGCAGGATGGGGTGGCGGGTGCCTGTAATCCCAGCTACCCGGGAGGCTGAGGCAGGAGAATCACTTGAACCCAGGAGGCGGAGGCTGCAGTGAGCCGAGATGGCAGCACTATACTCGAGCCTAGGAGACAGAGCGAGACTTGGTAAAAAAAAAAAAAAAAAAAAAAAGCCATTTAGAGACAGGAGGCTGCATGGATCTCTGGAGCTGTCCTGCTACATCCAGGAGTACCCTGTGTGTAAGTCCTAATAAATTCATCTTACTTGTCAAGCTGTACGTGTCCAAGTCATTCTTTGGTCTGTTGGCTGCTTCCCAATTTAGGGGGACGTTACAGTCCCAAGTTTTGCTCATAACAATTGGCATCACAAACAGGATCTGAGAGACCAAACAATGAGTCAGGAAAGGGCATCTGCAGGGGGAATCCTGGGGTGGTCGGCAACATGCAGGTGGGGTGGAATTGCTCCATCGCTCAACCTTTGTGGACTGCTGAGGAAGTATAGGGATACTCAGAAAATGTGGCGGGGACTAAGCGCATATTGCAAGAGGCTAAGATATCAAAGTAGGATAAGGATAGCAAATGTGCTATTGTTGCAATAAGGCTGGCCCCTGAGAAATCATTAGAGCAGGAAACAGAGAAAGGATAGAAACACCTGCAGAAGTTCAAAGCATGCCAGCTTTTTTAGGACTCCAGCTGGTTACCTATTATGTATGGCCCTTTCTTGTGCACATTTTTTAACTGATGGGGAAATTACAACAAAAAAAATGCGGATTTTAAATGGTTAAGCTGCAACTATAGAGTTAAGTAGAGTCTCCTAAAGCTATTTCTCTCTTTATTTTTGTTTCTGCTTATTTTGAATATGCTATTTATTTATTTAGAGACAGATTCTCACTCTGTCACCCAGGCTGGAGTGCAGCTCACTACAGCCTCCGCCTCCCGGGTTCAAGCTCTTTTCCTGCCTCAGCCTCCCGAGTAGCTGGGATTACAGGAACCCACCACCACGCCCAGGTATTTTTAGTAGAGATGGGGTTTCACCATATTGGCCAGGCTGGTCTCGAACTCCTGACCTTGTGATCCACCCACCTCGGCCTCCCAAAGTGCTGAGATTACAGGTGTGAGCCACTGCGCCCAGCCTCGAATGTTGGGAGAGAAGCTGAGTGTTGGGAGACAACAGGACTTGTATGTCTGCTAGACTTGCTGGCTCCTTGCTTTTAGCACTCCCATTATCTAAAGTAGCCATATGTTTCTCTTTCACTTGATACACCATTTCCTTTCAACCCCCACATCTTCACTACCTGTTTGTTTGAGCACCAATAAATAGCGTGGGCTCCCAGAGCTCAGGGCCTTCGCAGCCTCCACACTCGTGATGGCCACTTAGTCCCACTTTCTCTCTCAAACTGTCTTTTTCTCATTTCTGTGACTCTGCAGGACTTTGTCGCCCCCACGACCTGGTGTTGGGTCTGATCACCCCAACACTCAAATATGCCATTATTAAGCTATTGGTGTTGAAATAAAACTCACTAATTCAAAGCCACTCGGAGATTTTACTTTTCTCTACAGTACAGCCAGTTCTTACTAAAATGTAAACAATGAAACTCATTTGAAGCACAGAAAAAAGGGGATGTGGATAAATGAGGATTTTAAAAATCAAACTGCTATAGAAACTGCTTTACCCAAAATTGTGTTCCACAGTCTTTATTGGATTACCTATCAGTGCAAACAAAGTCTAGTCTTGTGGACAGGTCTCAATTTTGTGAAAAATAATTTGGATCTAGCTTTTCTTTTTTTTTTTTCCTTTTTTTTTTTTTTGAGATGGAGTTTCACTCTTGTTGCCCAAGCTGGAGTGCAACGGTGAGATCTCGGCTCAGTGCAACCTCCATCTCCCAAGTTCAAGTGATTCTCCTGCCTGAGCCTCTTGAGAAGCTGGGATTACAGGGGTGCGCCACCACTCCCAGCTACTTTTTTGTATTTTTAGTAGAAACGGGGTTTCACCATGTTAGCCAGCCTGGTCTCCAACTCCTGAACTCAGGTGATCCTCCTGCCTCGGCCTCCCAAAGTGCTGGGATTACAGGTTTGAGCCACTGCACCCGGCCTGATCCAACTATCTTTTGTAAAATAGTAAATTTATGATGTTGTCTCATGGCTAGAGTTCCAAGTAAAAGCTGTTGGATATTGGTTTGTGTGTATAGATACATGCTTAAATGTGTTTATGTGTATGTATATATATTATGTGTTATGCCTAGCATACTACCAAATGGCTTATACATAAATGAGTACTCATAAAGTCCAAATGCTTTTCAAGTTCATATGAATTTAGTAATCTTTAATAAATAATCTGGCTTTAAAATTATTGGTAAAATAAAAATAGAAATGTCCTTGAATTGTCAGCATACGTTTTTGTCTCAGTTTACCAATTAGTTTTACATTTGCCTCTGCTAGATATTTTAAGGTGTCAGGGTTTGACCTAAAGATCATAAGTCTGTAAACCCAGCCAAAAACAGAATGATCTTTATTTGTGTGATTTTTTGGTAAGTATGACTAATTTAATATTGTTAGGTCAGTGAAAACAGCTAAAATTCCTGAGTTATTGGCAAAAATGCCCATGTGTTTAACTTTAAAGTTCTTGCCTAGGTGAACACCTGACATTCACAGTTTAACAGAAAAAATAATTCAGAATGATGAGTAACTTTGTCTAATGTCTTCGTTCCAATGAGTAATCTAGGTAAACTGCTAAAAATGAATAAATTGAGTAAATGTAAGAGATAAATGCTTACGGGTGAACTTTTTGTGTAGTTTAAAACCTTAAAATTGTTTTAAGTACTTGTTGAATGTCTGGATCATTTCCAATTCAAAAAATGGCATTTATAATATAGGGCATTGGTCACACTGAGGTGACAGCGTGCTGGCAGTCCTCAGAGCCCTCGCTTGCTCTCGGCACCTCCGCTGCCTGGGCTCCCACTTTGGTGGCATTTGAGGAGCCCTTCAGTCCCCCACTGCACTGTGGGAGCCCCTTTCTGGGCTGGCCAAGGCCGGAGCCCACTCCTTCAGCTTGCAGGGAGGTGTGGAGGGAGAGACACGAGCGGGAACCAGGGCTGTGTGCCGCACTTGCGGGCCAGCTGGAGTTCCGGGTGGGCGTGGGCTTGGTGGGCCCCGCACTCGGAGCAGCCAGCCAGCCCTGCTGGCCCCGGGCAATGGGGGACTTAGCACCCGGGCCAGTGGCTGCGAAGGGTGTACTGGGTCCCCCAGCAGTGCCGGCCCACCGGCGCTGTGCTCGATTTCTCGCCGGGCCTTGGCTGCCTTCCCACGGGGCAGGGCTCGGGACCTGCAGCCCGCCATGCCTGAGCCTCCCACCCCCCTCCGTGGGCTCCTGTGCGGCCCGAGCCTCCCGGACGAGCGCCACCCCCTGCTCCACGGCACCCAGTCCCATCGACCACCTAAGGGCTGAGGAATGCGAGTGCAGGGCGCAGGACTGGCAGGCAGCTCCACCTGCAGCCCCAGTGCGGAATCCACTACGTGAAGCCAGCTGGGCTCCTGAGTCTGGTGGGGACGTGGAGAGTCTTTTTATCTAGCTCAGGGATTGTAAACACACCAATCAGCACCCTGTGTTTAGCTCAAGGTTTGTGAGTGCACCAATCGACACTCTGTATCTAGCTGCTCTGGTGAGGACGTGGAGAACCTTTATGTCTAGCTCACGGATTGTAAATACACCAATCGGCACTCTGTATCTAGCTCAAGGTTTGTAAACACACCAATCAGCACCCTGTGTTTAGCTCAAGGTTTGTGAGTGCACCAATCGACACTCTGTATCTAGCTGCTCTGGTGGGGCCTTGGAGAACCTGTATGTGGAAACTCTGTATCTAACTAATCTAATGGGGACGAGGAGAACCTTTGTATCTAGCCCAGGGATTGTAAACGCACCAGTCAGCGCCCTGACAAAACAGGCCACTCGGCTCTACCAATCAGCAGGATGTGGGTGGGGCCAGATAAAAGAATAAAAGCAGGCTGCCCGAACCAGCATTAGCAACCCGCTGGGTTGTCTTTTCTGCACTGTGAAAGCGTTGTTTTTTTCACTATGCGCAATAAATTTTCCAACTGGTCACTCTTTGGGTCCACGCTGTTTTTATGAGGTATAACACTCACTGCAAAGGTTTGCAGCTTCACTCCTGAGCTAGCAAGACCACGACCCCACCAGAAAAAAGAAACTGCGGACACATCTGAACATCAGAAGGGACAGACTCCACGCCCGCGAACTTTAGAGCTGTGACACTCTCTGTGAGGGTTTGCGGTTTCATTGTTGAAGTCAGTGAGACCATAGAACCCACCAATTTCAGACAACACTTCTGAGCCTCTTAGTGGGAAATGAAATCTGTGATGGGGGGAAGCATTGGCAGACCTCAGTGAGCTGGATAAAAATAACGATCAGGTCCACAGAGAAAGCAAAAAGGGGATAGGCCAAATATGCACCTGTATCCTTGCAGGTAATGAACATGAAACAATACTTTCTGCTATTGGGGGGGCACTCTGAAATCACCCAAACAATCCAGAAAGTACATAAGGTACAAATAGTCAGACTGGCCCAGAGCCCCTACAGCAGCCTTGTTTGGCCTGTGAAGAAGCCAGGTGATGCCTGGAAGATGATGGTGGATTACCGCTAGCTGAACAAAGTGGTACGCCCTGTACATGCAGCTGTATCCAATATTGCTCAACTGCTAGAGCAAGCAGTACCGAAGCTGGGAAGTATCCATTCTGTGACTGACTGCATTAATACCTTTTCCAGTATTCTTTCAGCTGAAGATTCACAGTTGGTCTACACTTAGGAGGACCAAGAATGGACTTTCCAGGTGTCACCACAGGGGCATCTGCAAAGCCCCGCCATCTCTCACAGTATGGTTACACAGGAGCTGTCTATAATCTCTTTGCCTGCCTTGGTCTCCCTGTTTCACTATATTAATGATAACATGCTACCCTAGAGTCTCTTACAGATTTGGAGACTATCCTACAAACTGTTTTGGACAGCCTGAAGGAGGGATAGAAAATCAACCCCAAAAATATACAGAGGCTTGGCATGCCTGTCAAATTCCTGAGAGTTACCTGGTTGGGTAAGATGTGAAACATACCCAAAGCCGTCATTGATAAGATAGCATAGTAGTCTGCTCTCCAGACAGTAGAGCAACTCCAGGTTTTCCTAGGTTTACTGGGCTACTGGAGGATATTCATTCCTCATCTGGCACAAATACTCCACCCATTATACACCCTAATAAAGACAGGTAAAAAATGAGATGACATAAATAGAACAAGAGGCATTTGACAAAACAAAAATATTGGTGAAACAAGCCCAAGCATACAGACTCTACTGCTGTATTAGTAATCACCAGAGATGTCACAGGGATGAATTTAGGTTTGGGGCAAAAGCAACTAATGGGAATGGTACCTATAGGGTTTTGGTCTCAGTTATGGGAGGGAGCCAACATGGCAGTGGAGCCACCCATCAGGCCAACCACCATATATAAGGGTACCCCGCCAATATCTGCTAGGCCCTGGTACATTGATGGGCATAGCAAAGATATCCAACACTGGGCATCAGAAGAAAATATAGACTGGACCAGGTGCGGTGGGTCATGCCTGTAATCCCAGCACTTTGGGAGGCTGAGACAGGCAGATCACTTGAGGTCAGGAGTTTGAGAGCAGTCTGGCCAACATGGTGAAACCCCATCTCTACTAAAAATACAAAAATTAGCCAGGCGTGGTGGCGCATGCGTGTAGTCCCAGCTACTTGGGAGACTGAGGTGGGAGAATTGCTTTAATCCGGGAGGCGGAGGTTGCAGTGAGCCGAGATCGCACCATTGCATTCCAGCCTGGGCAACAGAGCGAGACTCTGTCTCAAAATAAAAAAGAAGAAAATATAGACTGGAGGTTCCACTTACCACCACAATCCAACAGAGGCAGGACTTACAGAAAGAAATAATGGCCTGTTAAAGACCCAGATGTGT
Source organism: Homo sapiens (assembly GCF_000001405.40). Classification (NCBI taxonomy): domain Eukaryota; kingdom Metazoa; phylum Chordata; class Mammalia; order Primates; family Hominidae; genus Homo; species Homo sapiens. The sequence goes on along the minus strand of NT_167247.2, from coordinate 135,800 downwards.
GCACTGTTTCAGGTTGGCTCTTTAAGTTCCTGGACTAAGAATCTCCATAAAGCCATACAAACTTTAAATGAGTCACCCACTAGCACACATGGCATCACTCCTTATAAATGGTTGGCAAGGCCTGTAAGACATGTCCCACAAACTCTCGGGGTTACCTCAAAGACACTGAGCCATGCTCCTGAGGCAGATGGTGAGACATGCTCCTGAGAACACCAGTGGATCTGCCAAGCAGTGATGGCTACAGGGACCTGAAGCTGAGCTGGAATATGCCTCCATACTGGATTAGTTTTATAGTACTGGAGGGTGGTGCCATGATAACTGCCATAGGGGCAGTGGTCCCAGCTGTGCTCCTTGATAGAGTTCCGAGAGACTTACTTTATCAACAGATGGCAGCACCCATACCTGCTGGAATAATTATAGTATGGATAGCATGGGCAAGGCTGGAAACTTATCAATTGGCTATTGTGGCTGCTTCTAGGAAAAGAAGACATGGGTGGTTTTGTAATCCAGGCCTGAAGCCCACAGTGGCATCCCTAATAGTGCCAGTGGGAGAAAACACAATGATAATAATGTTGCAAGGTGTGGCCAGGCGCGGTGGCTCACGCCTGTAATCCCAACACTTTGGGAGGCCAAGGCGGGTGGAGTATGAGGCCAGGAGATCGAGACCATCCTGGCTAACACGGTGAAACCCCGTCTCCACTAAAAATACAAAAAATTAGCCAGATGTGGTGGCGGGCGCCTGTAGTCCCAGCTACTCAGGAAGCTGAGGCAGGAGAATGGCGTGAACCCAGGAGGCGGAACTTGCAGTGAGCCGAGATCGTGCCACTGCACTCCAGCCTGGGCAACAGAGCAAGACTCTGTCTCAAAAAAATTAAAAAAAAAAATGTTGCAAGGAGTGAATACGCCTGTGAGAGTTCCTACTAACCACCTGTGTTTATACCCATAGGTTGTTCCTGCTACTCATGGCAGCTGGTAATGTCTTTCTAGACTGAGCTGCAACTCCAGAAGCAGTCAACAACCAGTCAGATACCTCTCCCTATAAAATAATAATGATATGCCTTAAAATACTCTGCCTTTCTCCTGACAGAACTGGAGTGACTTGTACAATAGCACTGATAATGCAACCCGGGCTCACTAAGGATTGCCTCCACCTAGAGGCTCAATCGCCAACGTGACAAAGACCCAAAATGTGCCTTTCTAGGTGCTAACTGTTGCACCTATTTCCCTGATGAAGAGAGTAATGTCAGAGGTACTTTAAACCATTTGTCAACTCAGATCCATGATATAACCTAATTAGGTTTCTTTTACTCATTCTCAAATTGGTTACACAGCTTCTCTAGTCATGGGAATTAGGTTTTGCTAATAGACATTATAATTGTAGTTAACTTCTGCTTTTTGTGCTCCTACGTATACTGTAGATGTGACCTGTATGCGCAAGCCATGGCTAGACGTTATAGACCTGTATAGTTCTTTCCTTCCACCCTACTCAAGGAGTCTCACACAAGATTGGCAGAAAGAATGTAAGAGATGGGAGGCAGGGTGGATTGCAGCATGACAGATCACCCACCATGTCACTTAAGAGTGTATGTCTACTGCCTGAACCCTGAAGGCCCAGTGGTGAGCCAAGGCCACGATGCCCAGCAGAGGAGCAGGTGTCCTTGAGAACACAAACATCCCAGAGAGTATCTGAGAACCTACCAAGAAAAACAGTCTCATTGCTCAAACACAGTAGGCAAAAAGCCAGAAAATTAACTTAGAAACAGTTTAAAGACAGGAGGCGGCATGGATCTCTAGAGCTATCCTGCTGCACCCAGGAGTACCCTGTATCTAAGTCCTACTAAACTCACCTGCTTATTAAGCTGGACTGTCTTTGGTCTTCCGGGACCTTCCCAGTTTGGGGGGAACGTTACAATCCCAAGTTTTTCTTGTAATACTTTCCAATCTTTCTCCTCCCCTTGTTAACTTTCCCCAGATCCTAGTTTCAGTTTCTGTTGTGGCTAGATTTTCAGGCCCAGTGGTTTTCAAACTTGCCTGAATATCAAATTCAACTGGGAAATATTAAATAACACAATATTCCATAGATGTGAGGACGATCTAGCTGTGACATCTGTCACCCCATAATAATTCCTGGGCCCTTTTCTGGAGACTCTGAAAGCACTCAGCATCTCAGTCTCTGGGGTAAGGCCTGGGGATTCCTGTTTTTATTAACTCCCGCAGGTAAATTTTCACCTTTGGGGACTCCTGCAGTGTTGTCCCAAAAGCACTTATAGGAAGGTCTAGGGCAGAAAAACATCTTTTCCCACCCAGTGCCAGGTTCATGGCTGACACTTCATAATAAAAGATAGATTAACAAGGGAAAAGCAGGCCGGGTGGGGTGGCTCATGCCTGTAATCCCAGCACTTTGGGGGGCTGAAGCTGGTGGATCACCTGAGGTCAGGAGTTTGAGACCAGCCTGGCCAACATGGAGAAACCCCCATTTCCACTAAAAATACGAAATTAGCTGGGCATAGTGGCACACGCCTGTAATCCCAGCTACTCGGGAGGCTGAAGCAGAAGAATCGCTTGAACCCGGGAGGCGGAGGTTGTGGTGAGCCAAGATCGCGCCATTACACTCTAGCCTGGGCAACAAAAGTGAAATTCTGTCTCAACAACAAAAAAAAAAAAAAAAAAAAAAGGAAAAGCATACAAATCAAACAAATTTTATTGACACAAGAGCCTTCAAAAATGAAGACCTAAAGAAATAGGAAAATCTGCGTACAGCAGACCCTTGAATAACGTTGTTTCATTCAACATCATTTTGTTATAATGTTGATGAGAAAAAAGTCTATTTCTCCTGGAAGCCACTGTCTGAGTTTCCTCCCACATCCCAAAAATGTGCACATTAGGTTCATTAGCATATCTAGTCTGAGTCTAGCGTCATCAGTCTGAGTGAAAGAGCACGCGAGCATATGTGTGAGTGTGTGTGTGTGTGTATGAGCCCGCCCTGTGATGGAATGGCCACCTGTCCACGGTGGGTTCCCTCCTGACACTATGAGGAGTTGAATTAGGCTTCAGCCACCAAAGACCTTGAACTGGAGTGAGCAGGTTGAAAAATGCATGAATGAATACAAGTTACTGTAAAAGCAAAATTCAGGAAGCATTTCATAATCCTACAAATGCATGACAATAAACGACATGGTGCTAAAACAGCCAGCCGCCATACTGAGAGGTGACAGCTTGCTGGCAGCCCTCACAGCCTTCGCTTGCTCTAGGCGCCTCCTCGGCCTTGGCGCCCACTCTGGCCGCGCTTGAGGAGAACTTCAGCCCGCCGCTGCACTGTGGGAGCCCCTTGCTGGGCTGGCC